>NC_000012.12:108066188-108217703 GCF_000001405.40 Homo sapiens | reverse complement strand
CAGTTAATCTCCTGGGTGGAAGATATTCCTGAAGTCTGGCCTATTTTACTTTGTGGGGAAACGGTGTGAAGTCACAGAGGGCTTCCTGATGTCCGGTGGAAAGGTTGGAGAGCCTTCCAAGCCAGGAAGGGAAGGGTTTAGCTCGACACCCAGGGACCTGGGGAGCTCTCTGGAGACCATCTCTCTCTGCAGGTGGCTCTCCACTGTCTTGGTGATCTGGACACAGAATACACACGGTAGCCAAGACATTTAATCTCCCCACTTCCCTCATTTCCTGCATCTGCAATATGGGTCACCTGGCCCTCCCCTTCAGTGGGTGAGAGGCTCTTTCATCTCTTATGTCTGAAAATGAAAGGGAAGTGGCTAGGGAATCTCTTGGCTTCCCTGACACTCTCCTGTGGTATAAAGAATTCTGGATTTCCATAGCAGTGAAAAGATGCTTTCTTGTTTGCAAAAGGCTCTGGTGTCCCGAGGAAAGGGCCTTGGCTTTAAGTCAGACAGACCTGGGTCAGCTGCTTACTTAGCTGTGTGCCATTGGGCAGGTGTCTTCACTTTGCTGAGCCTCAGTTTTTCTCATCTGTACATGAGGATTGTTGTATCTACCCTGCACAGTTGGGGTGAAAGTCTATGAGATGGCATTTACAACAGTGTCTGAGACATAACAAGTACTCAAACCATGCCACTTCCTGTTCCTTTCATCACTTGCCCATAATATGTGGAAGGTGGCTAGATCCCATGCACTGTTTGCTGTCAGTAGTCCATTAATATGCCTGCTCTTGGCATTTGCCATTCCATTATTGGCTGATAGTGACCATGACTCTGCCTTAGGGCCTGTGAGGGACAGGCTGGGCCTGCCAGGGTGTTAATTTCCCCAGGAGCCACCCTCAGCCAATGATGGATGAGAGTTGGAGGAAAAAAAAATACAGCAGCTTTCTGCTCCTCAGGTGGAACACGTCTGAGGTTTGTTCAATACCATCCTCCAGAGCTCTCCAGTGGGGTTAAGCTTCCATTGTCCTCACTAGAGACCTGCTTTGTCAGGGACCCTGTATTAGCTTTCTTCCCCATCTAACCTTTCTAGTCCCCTATGGGTGCATCTTGGCAACACCTTCCAGGTAGCCAAGGTTCACATCCCTGTATTGGGGGAACCCAACTTAAAACACCTTGGATCTTTGAGCACTTTCAGTTACAAGGAAAATCCTTCACAGATTTCAGGGCCACTGCTTTTCACAGCTCATAGTCTATGTGAATGGTACTCCCTGGAGTCATGAATGACAACAGCAGTAGCCCTGGATGGCATCTTCCTAATGATCAAACCTTTCTATATAATAGCAATGATGGCAGTAATAACAGCTGTTTACTCTATGTCATTAGTGCTAAGTATGTTGTGTGTATTATATCTCAGTTAATCCTCACAGCAACCTATGAGGTGAACAATATTATTATCCTATTTTGTAGGCAGAGACCCTGAAACTTAGCAAGATTCAATTACTTTTCCAGGTCACACAGCTGGTAGGGAGCAGAGCTGGGATTTGACCCCAATCTTGTTTGACATCACATCCTTGTTTCCCATCTCTACTATCCTGAAGAAGATCTGCTCAATTTTAACAAGTTGGGCTCCATAGACCCCCATTCCAGCTACCTGAATTTTCCAGAAATCCTCTCGGCCCCACAGTGGGAGTCCAAGGATTGCAAAAGCCCATGCCCCACATTCTGACAATGTCAGCTCTGCATTGCCAGGCTAGCTGGGATGGTACATGACCTCAGCAGCTTGGGCTTTTTACTAGCAAGAAGCAAGCAGAGCAACTGTTCATCAACTCCCTTTGCTGGGGGCAGATGAAGAACAGCCCGGAACCAGCTGCAAGTGTCTCTGAAGTCCTATCATCTCTTTGTTCTGGAGCTTCACAAAAATGAGGTAAATGTCACCAGGCATCAGCTTAGAGGCAGCCGTGGAAGAGTTCTCCTTGGTTTGAAAGAAGCCACCAACCCCTGGGTAATTAGGCCAAGCTCCACTGCATTAAAGATGCTGGTGAGGAGGAAAGGCAGTGAGCTGGAAGCTGTTAATGGCTACCTAGCTACCTATAATCAGAGAGAGATTGAATTACACAAAGAGCCTAACTGTCCAAAGAGAATTCAAGCCAGCTATTTTTAGACATTACCAAAGGCTCCTGTGGGCTGTTGGAAATTCAAATCACTTGAATTGGGTGCTTCTCGGAGTGAATTGGGGAGTTTCCATTAGGAAAAAGCTACTCTGTAACAGGCACTGTGCTAGGTGCTTTCTAGTCTTTACCTCACTCGGTGGCCCCAGAAATTGTGAAAGATTGGGATTGTCTTCATTTTATAGACGAAGCACCAGACGCCTAGAAAGAACGAGTGGCTTGGCCAAAGTCAATACAGCCATCAGGTGAGAGAGTTGGGATAGAAACATTATGCCTGATTCCAAAACCTGCATTGCTCCCAATATTTTCCTGTCCAATGGCCTAGATTTTGCTTAGGGGAGAAGAGCAAACCAATTCTCTCCCATCATGATGCAGAAGAAGAAATATTTTCTATCATTCCCTTGGCCCTACAGAGAAGAGCTCATGGGGTCCCATATGAATTATGAAATTCAGGGCTCCCAGACCTACAGCAAAGGGAAGTAGAAGAAGCCTCCAGGTCTAGCAAAGAAGGAACTAGACATGGTCCATTCCAGCAAATGTGACTGTCCCCTAATCATCTGAGGGTTCCCCTCAGTAAAAGTAGTTGGAATGGAGTATCAGTGAACATAAAGCAAAGCACTGCACAAAATTCTCCTAACTTTGGGAGACAAAAAATTGCCGGAATTAACAACAGTACACAAAAACCACCATGTAAAAAATTGTGAACCATAAACAAGGTATCTATTTTTTCAGTGATAGTGTAAGCTTCATAATGTCTTCACTAAACTAGGAAGGAAAAAACAAAAGGAAAAAAG
Organism: Homo sapiens; assembly: GCF_000001405.40. Taxonomy (NCBI): domain Eukaryota; kingdom Metazoa; phylum Chordata; class Mammalia; order Primates; family Hominidae; genus Homo; species Homo sapiens. The sequence continues at coordinate 108,214,753 of NC_000012.12, read as the reverse complement.
TACACATCCCTGGGAGAGGCTGATTTGCCATCATTGGGGTTTTAGGCAGTGCAGTGGTCAGCACCATGGACAGCCACCCTTGGGACTCAGGAGCCCCGTTCTGATGAACTTTGCAACCCAAATCTTGCAAGAATCTTTCAGGCAAATGAAATTTCTTGCAACATCGCGTAAAGCCATAATGTTCTCAAATCACCAGCAGGTCTCTATCCCTGGGAGGAGAGCTACACTTGCCGACACATTTAGCAAACTGCTGTGAAAAATGTAATCTGACCAAGAAAGAAGTCCATTTCTCAGTTCTTTTGTAACAAGGGCAAAGAGTCCACGTGCCCGAGAGTCTGTGTCAAGGCAGAATAGCAGGGTGCCTGCAGACATTTGCTTTGCTAACCTTTTAATGCTCTCACTATTATGGGAACATTCCATCACCTCACCTCAGAAACACGTAGGCTGGCATCCTGTGCGAGGCAGATGCCCCACCAGAATGGTCCTTGGGAGATAAAAACCTTCCTTTAGATCTCTCCAATCATTAAAGGTTCTGTGCCACTGCTTAGGAAAACACAATTAGGACACAGTGTTAATACCAACTAATGACTCTACAAATGAAATCTGGTTTCTGCCATAGCTGTTTGCTGGAGTGTTCGCTCATTTCTCTTGCCTGATGTAATACATGCCAGAGTTGTGTGCCAGTGACTTGGAAGGCATCCCTTTCTGACTTCTTTGTGTACAAAGCAAATCCTAGGCATAATCCTAGGAAATCGAAGGCACCACTGAGTCAGAGCAAAGACATTGCAGATTTCACATTGCCTAGAGTCTGGAAACAAGGTGGAAGGAGGGATCAGGGTCAGGGAAGGAAGGAGATGAGCTGGAGCCAAGGAGCTCCCCTAAAAGAGAGATGGTGTTCTGAACCAAATTCCAGGGTCAGGGTGTCTACAACACTGTAGCAAGTGGGTATACTAACTGGGATTCATGGACCTGGGTTCAAGCCCATGGTCAGTCCCTAAGAGGCACAGTAGCCTTGGAAAAACCATGCCTGCCAGTCATTTCCTGCAATAGGCACCAGGCTTTTGTGCACTCTTTTATTTGCCTAATTCCTCTCCCACTGCTTGGTGATTTGTCTTGAGTCTGGGTATCCTCCTCTTCTCTGCCAGGCAACAACCTTTCAAGGCTCTTGTCAAATGTCCCCTCCTTTATCGAGCTGCCCCCTTCTTTGTGGAGCCTCCCCCAGTGCTGTTCAATTTAGCCATTTCTATTCTCTGAGCCACAGTTTCTACAAATATAAAATGCAGACATCAGTGAGAAAGGTGCTTCCAACATAGCATTCAACACATGACCTTTGCTGACTCTGGACTTTTGATCATGAATTAGAACACATGGCTGTCCCTTTCACCTGGAATCCTCTCAGAATGAGATTCAGCTCAAAAGTTGCTCCCTTGGCTCTTGAAGACAGAGCCCCCGCAGCCCTCTGGGTCTGTGGTTCAACCAATCCTACTTGTATTGGGTCTGCACAAAATTATCCTTTTAACTCATGGTTGAACCAATTTCATTAGTATCAGGTCTGTTGCCCCATGAGATGGAAAGCTCCTTGAGGTCAGGCATTGTGCTTTACTGACCACTGAGCCTCTCCATACCTCATCCACAGAGGAGCTCATCAAGTGTTTTGGTTCAATGAATGGTCCCTGCACTCTCTTTGTATACCATGTTGCCAACTGGATTTGAAACATTGTCAACCATCTCTCTCCTTGTCCAAGCTGCCTCCCTTCTAAGTCTCAGCCTTAGTAGCCTCAAGGCTAATAAGGCTTAGATTTTCTTTTAGGGTCTCCAGCTGAAGGTGCTCAAGCTTCAAACCTTACATGGCGATGATTCGGAACAACGGTGATGGACTTTAGAGAATCCAGGACTCCACTCTCAGTAGAAATAAGTGTGTTTCTTCCTCTTGGACATAATACAAAAATGCTATTCTCAGATGGTACAAAGCACCACCCAAATAATTGTGCCACACAGAAGGGGGCAGGTGAGGGGTGCAGCATTGTTCCTGCCAGCAGCCCCCCAGCTCACCCATGGCCAATGAAAGTGTTATTATATAATACAAGGTGATCACAGCAGTGTGTGTGTGTGTCTGAATGTGTGTGTGTGTGTGTGTGTGAGAGAGAGAGAGAGAGAGAGAGAAATGGGGGTGGAGAGACAGCGGAAGAGAGAGGGAGGAAGGTGGGGGAGAGAAAGAGGAAGAGAGAGGTGGGGAGAAGGAGAGAGGGGAGAGAGGAGAGAAAGAGATATTGAGAGAGAGTGTGTCCAGGTTATTCAGCCAACCTGAACATTAACCAAAAGGAGGTCTGGCTAGTGTCTGGCTAATGACATACACAGTCCAATTCTTGTTATCTGTCTCAGCTTCATCCACTAGGATGTGTTACTGGCAGCAGCTTTCCCTATAAATATCCCTGACTTTCAGGTCATCTCTTCAGATGGTCCAAATGTTGCTATCAAAATAACATAACATAAATATTGACATAAAGGCGATCAGTTGTAAAGGTGACAAATCTGCCACTAAGTTAAAAACTCATAATATTAGCAGCCAAACCACAAAGCCACTCTATGGACATTCTCTGGCCTGGATTTCACATGCTACCTCTGTCCTCTGCCCTCTGCCCTCCTAGGGCTTCATACCTGAACTGATGTGACTATGGGGAGGTGGAAGTTGCAGTTAATTTGGAAAAACCAGCCAGTTTGCAAATTGACCGCATGCTTGACCCTATTGCACAGCAAAGCTTGAATGGAGCTTCAAAAATATGGGATTTGAGGCTGGGTGTGGTGGCTTATGCCTGTAATTCCAGCACTTTGGGAGCCTGAGGTGGGTGGATCACGAGGTCAGGAGTTTGAGACCAGCCTGGCCAACACAGTGAAACCCTGTCTCTACTAAAAATACAAAAAAAAAAAAAAAATTAGCCAGGCATGGTGGCGGGAAACTCTAATCCCAGCTACTTGGGAGGCTGAGGCAGGAGAATTGCTTGAACCTGGCATACGGGGGTTGCAATGAGCCAAGATCACACCATTGCACTCCAGCCTGGGCAACAGTGTGAGGCTCTGTCTCAAAAAATATATATATATATGTATATATATATATATATATATGGGATTTGAAACACTGGACACATTTTCAAGCAAACAAACAATGAGTTTCTATAAACGATGAAATTCACATGCAAGAGGCCCTTCTCTGCAAACAGACTAGCTGTTAACTTTCTGCTAAAGCCACCCGGGTGGGCAGGACTACATTCTGGACGAGATCCACAGAGGCTCAAAATGTGGTCTATGGACCAGCATCCTGGCATCACCTGGGAGCTCTTTAGAAATGCAGCATCTCCCTGAACCTGCTGAATTGGAATCTGCATTTTAACAAGATCTCCCAGGGGAACTCTCAGACACATGCAAATCTGGGAAGCACTGGCCAGAGGGCTAGAGAAGCAGCTGTGGATTTCTGCTTCTGTCCTTGGACTGTGTGGGAGGGGTAACCCCCAGAAAGGTCAGCACCCCCCATCTTTTATCAAGCCCATTAACTCTTCTCATAGGTCTTAAGGTCATCTGGAATTAGGCTATGTGACCTTGGACTGGTTGGGGATAATGAACAACAGTAATTACCTGAAAAGGCTGTAGGGAAGGTAAATGAAATCAGGTCTGTAATTGGCTTAGGACAGTGCCTGGCATACAGCAGATTATTTATAAATAGTTACTAGCTGTCATTAAACATTCCTCCCCAGTCCCCAGGAGGGGACCCAGGAGTGCCCTCAGACAAGGAGCCAGCTCCTGTCCTCTTATTCACTCCCTCCTTCTGTTGGTTTGGAAATCAGAGAGATTTTCCAACAAGACTCAAACCAGAAGCTTGAAAAAGCCAGGATGAATTCTCTCTTTGAAAGCATCAAGGACTCCAGAGTCGGTTTAAATTCTCTGCTGCTTACAAGCTTTATGACATTGAGACTCAGTTTCCTCATCTGTAAAATGGGAATAAGTAAATAATAGTACCTATGTCAAGGGTCATTGTGAAGATTAGATGTGCTATTCTATATGAGGCATGGAGAAAAGGACAAAGTGTTTGCTATTGCCATTACCACCATCATCATCATTAGAGACAGTCTGCTCTGAGAAAATCAGGATGGGAAGGCGAGGCTCAGGCTCCAACTCAGTTTCAGAAGGAGGAAGACTGGTGAGAATGAGGGATACAGCTGGAACCAGACGCAGCTCAGTGGGAGGGAGAGAAAAGCGCATGCAGGACCATTCAAAGGAGCTGGGGCAAAGGGCTCTGTGAGGGAGTGGGAGAGGTGAGGCAGGGGCAGGACGGTGGTGGCCTTGGAGTGATGGGGAGCCATGGAGGGTACAGGGCAGACATGTGGGACTCTTTGGTGGGCAAGGGCTGCAGCTGAGGGAGGAGCAGCAGAGAGGGGCAGGGCAGACTCACGTACACCTGCGGGCCGACTCCTGGGCCAGCTGCAGCCGGTAGACAGAGAGGCGGTTGGCGCCGCCGCACACGCTGCCTCGCTCGCCCTTGCACTCCATGTCGCACTCTGCCTCGCTCACGTTCGTCGCCTGGATCTTGTGGCCGCAGTAGCACTCGGCGCCGAACTCCAGCCCGCCATACAGGTAACCCCTGGGGGAGGCTGCTGTCAAGCAGGGTAGCTGCCACCATGGAGACCCCGAGGCAGGGAGACACAACATGGAGACCTGGGGGATGGGAGGGCTCTGGGGACCAGGAGATCCCAGGGGAAATGGGGAGACTGCTGATGGGAGGTTGGGGCAACTGGGAGACCCCAGGGGACAGGAGAGACCTCAGGGGACAGGAGACCCACCCATTGTGGAGACCTGGGAGATGGGGGCCTTCGGGAGACAGGGGGACACCAAATAAATGAGATTAGGGAGGTAGCACACAGGAAGACCCTGGAAAGAGGGCAGGGGAGACCCTGAGGTGGGCAGGGAGACTCCAGGAGATCTGTGAGACAGGCATGCTCCATGGGGCAGGGGGATCTGGGTCTGGGATAAGGAGACCCTAAGAGGAGTCAGGGAGGCTGCAGAGTTGGCCTTGCAGTGGGGCAGCGTGGAGGCAGGAAAGCCAAGAAGGAATACAGGGAGGCCCCTAGAGGACATAGAGACCCAGGGAGGGGACAGGAACACCCAGGGACCATCCACCTGCCTTCATCTTCACCCTTCTACACCTACTCACATAGACACACCATGTCCATATTCACACTCACCTGTACACACCTGCTCATGGTACACCTGTCACACACACACACCCCAGATCCTGTGGTCTCCCCTACCCCACTCTCTTTCTTGCTTTTCCCTGTCTGGAAACCTGAGACATTCATCTCTCCAGAGTCCAGCTTCTTTATTCTTGGAAATATCACCCAGGAATGGTGCCTCCTTGTCCCTTGAGAGGAGCTAGGGTGAGGGGAAGAGGCACAGGGAGCTCATGAGGGAGGCAGGGACTCTCACACCCCTTCGAGAGAAGACAAAAATGAGCTCACACATTCATCAAGGAAATATTTATTCCTAAAAATAAAAATCCAGGCACTGCAAGGTTTTCAAGTTTTTTTGAAATTTTTCATAGTGATGGAATCCTTTCCTAAAAAGGACGCTTAGTGGCTACCCCACTCTGTAAACAAATGAAAAGAGCATTGCTTGCTCTGGCTCTGGGAGTAGGAAGGACAAAACCTGAGATGGAGGAAAACTGAGGTTCAGGAAAACCCATAAAAGAGGCTTGAGGGAGCACTTGTGCTCTTGTTCTCTAGAATATAATATCTTTAGACACCCTCATCACTTTTGAAATGATATTAGTGATTTTTAATGTAGTTTGTAAATTGCTTTTGTTCTTATTCTCTAGAATATAATATCCAGGAGGGCAGTGACCCTGTGGGTCTTGCCCACCTATCCCTGGACAATGCCTGGCATATGACAGATGATTAATACACATTCATAGAATGAATGTAGACCACTTCCCTGATAGACACCCTGCAGTGGCTCCCCATTGCCCTCCTGGTCAAATCTGGATGCTTTAGTTAGCTTTCAAGTCCCCATTTCACTGGGCTTTGAACACCTCTGTGGCTTCCCCTCCTGATACTCCCTTTGTACCCTCTGTGTACTCCCATGCTGCCTACCTGAGCACCCTGAGTGTTTCAGTGTATTTCAGGAGTCCTGGCCTTTGAGCATGCTGTTATTTCTGCCCTACCTAGAAAACTCCTACTCATCCTTCAAAACCCAGCTTATGGTCTCACTGTGATAACTCTTCCTAAACCCTCCACATGGAGCCCTCCATCCCTTCCATCTTCTTGACTTTCCTGCACCTTGCAAAGCACATCCACCCCAGCACCCATTATACTTGATGTCTCTGTACCCTGGTTTCCTCATCTGTGGAATGTGGCTCATAGCATTCCTGCCTCATAGGGGTCTTGTGAAGTTAAACAGTTAATATTTGCAAAATGCTCAGACAGTGCCTGGCACAGAACAAGTGCTTTTTAACTGTTATAAACTGTTGTTATTCTATTGCCCAAGCCTATTGTTCATGCCTCTATCTCCCCAACCAGATGGGAAGCCCCCCTGAGGACAGGGCTGTGGATGGCTCATCTCTTCATCTCCAGCACCTGGAATCAGGTCCAGCACCCACTGGCAGTCAACAAATATTTGCTGAACCAAATTGAATTACATGAGTAGCTCTGACTTATCTTGGCTGACACCTTCTCTGAGAAGTATTTCCTTTCACCCCAGGCAGCTTAGACCTTGTCTGCATGTCTAACTGCCTGCGATTCTTCCATCTCAACCCTTATCTGACTATGTTATCCCTCTCTGTTTACATGTTTGTCTCCCCTTGCCGGCTGTGAGCTCATTAAGGCCAGGGGCTGTGTAGAATGCACCTCTGTTTCCCCCGCCCCCCTGCACCCAAGTTTGACAGATAAGTTAGTGATTTCATATTATCAAGGACTTGGAATCCTTTTCAAATTGGAGAGGGTCCTGGGCTCAGGATTTTAATAGTGGGCTCCCTAGGCAGCTGATTTTAAAGGGGACAGTGTTTCCTAATCAAGAACAGCAGGGGCTGGGTTTGGTGCCTCACACCTGTAATCCCAGCACTTTGGGAAGCCGAGGTGGGCAGATCACGAGGTCAGGAGATCGAGACCATCCTGACCAACATGGTGAAACCCTTTCTCTACTAAAAATACCAAAAAAAAAAAAAAAAAAAAAAAAAAGCCAGGCATGGTGGCATGCGCCTGTAGTCCCAGCTACTCAGGAGGCTGAGGCAGGAGAATTGCTTGAACCCGGGAGGCGGAGGTTGCAGTGAGCCGAGATTATGCCACTGCACTCCAGCCTGGGTGACAGAGCAAGACTCTGTCTCAAAAAAATAAAAAATAAAAAATAAAGAACAGCAGGAAGAGTCTCTCAGGGGTCATCCACTTGCCCATTTCCACACCAGGCATGCAGCTGAGGTTGGCAGAGCTTGTGACCGTCAGAGACAGCCACCTGGAGCCTGAAGGTGAGCATATTAGAGCCTCTTCATGAGCCACTACAAGGTCAAGGGGCCCAAGAAACAAGGAGAGAAGCTCAGCTCAGCCCCATGGTGCCCCCAGGGGTCCTGTCCCTGTTCACCAGGCCTCTGGGGACTTGTCCACTCTCAAAACATCAACTCACTCCCCCCTAGTCCCAGTGCATGTCTAATAAAAATCATCGTTGTCTTCTTAGATTGGAAAACACTGTCTGAACAGGCAAGTGTTTCTCCCTTGGAGAAAAACAAGGAGTTTATATATTGAGAAACTATTAGATACCTTCACCTTACCCTTCATTTGGACATCTTGCAAGCCTTATGCTTACTCATCTGCATGCACATGCACATCTAATGGTGCATTTCTAAGTTGTGTGCAATTCTTCACAACCTTGCATGCTCTCAACACACTGTTGAACATTCAACAAATGCAATCAGACACCTACACACACAAGCACAACTCTCAGCCCTTGCACACATATTCACAAAGACTCCTGCATACACGGCCACTATTATTTAAAGATCATTGCATATTGGCATTAAGCTCACAAACACAGCTAGCTGACCCTGTACCCTGTATGCTACAAAATTGTTCCTAGACACAATATGACACAGTTGCACAACCACAGACTCCCATAGACCAACTCTTGAGCAGTCCTCAGTTGTGTGGATGTGCTTATGCACATACACACAATGCACACACACCCTTGCGTCAACCTTTCCTGTGGTCACGTGCTCACCCTTCAACACACCCTCCCATAGCAGGGCAAAGAATACCACAGGTGGGAATCTGAGAAGGAAGGGCCTGAAATGGACAAGTCTGGGATGCTGGGACCCTACCGTTCAGCACAGTTGTCCTGGCAACGGAAGATGGTCATCTTTTTGTAGTCAAAAAAGGACACTCCTCGAAGGGCCCGACTCTGGGTGTCATCCAGGTAGCAGCCGATGTACTTGGCTTTGGGGAAAGGAAAACGTCAAAGGTGGCTGGGGACAAAGCTGCAAGGGTTACAGGAGGAAGCCTCACCAATGTGTCTCTGGTTATGTGACCTTGTTGACCTTTTAATGTCAAGTCCTTCCTTTGGGCAGAAATGAGAGAGTGAAAGTCATTTGTCTTGGCAGAACCTGGTCTAATCAGGGCAGCGGAGACCAATAGAGAGGAGTGAAGCCTTCTGTGGGCTGCAGCCAAGCCCTTGAGGTCACCTGGTGACAGCTGGGCATCCAGGAACCCAAGCCAAGGCCACTCCCTAAGCACCAAACAGAGCTTCCTATTTCTTGCATTAAGACAGCTCTAAAAGGCTTAACATTTGACAACATGTTGCTATCTCTACAAGCTGCCTTAAAACATATATTTTTCCTTTGGAAAGTGCCCTGGACTTAGCTATCTCAAGGTCTAGGTCCTCATTTCACTTCGTTTACCTCCTAGCATGGGCCTAGAAAGTTTAAGCCAGTTAACCTTTCAGATACCTAGTTTTATTTGAATCAGGAACAAAAATAACAATCCAGTGAGGTTAAAATAGAATGATTTATGTAAAAGTTTCTACCATAGTGTCTTGCATATGATAGGCATCAAATTAAGATGAGTAGAATAAGAAACTGGCCATTCACAGTGCTGTGTAAAGTACTTTACAGTTTGCCTCTATTGTGGGTCAAGGTGAATGTTTCCATTCAAAGGAAAATTGTAAATAATGTGAAATAACCATCCAATTATAAATCATACACTTAGTTTTCTTAAAGTAGTAAACATTTTTCTTGCACTTTATGGTAAATAGTAACCCCTATACATGAAAATAGCACTTCACAGTTTATAATGTCTTTTCCCATATGTTTTTTAAGATTATTATTATTATTATTTGGACATTCACTTTGGTAAGTGCTTTACATACATTGTCTCCTTGCATCCTTACAGCGATCCTATGAGAATATTATTACCGTTGTATACAGAAGAGAAAAGGGCCCGGAGAAGTCACTTGCTCAAAGTAACACAGTTCATATGTGTGGATTCAGAATTGAAGCCAAGCAATCTGGTTTCAGAGCCTGTGCTCTGAACTGCTTGCTTTTTGAGTTGGGGGATCTTTGTAATGCCCCCATGTGAAGTGGAGAACATTGACATTGTCATGCTCTTATCTTAGATGATTTAACAGCGGCCCAGAAAGGTGAAGTGGCCTCCCTAAGACCCATAGCTAATTGTTCACAGAATAAATGTTTAAATCCAGGTCTATGAGACCCCCAAATCAGTAACTGGAGGTTAGACCGGGGATCCAGCCAGCACTTGGAATTAAATGTCCCTTATAGGGAATGATTGAAGAAAATACTAAATGCCACTTAATCACTTCTTTGGCTAGGCAGCTGTCTGGTTTAAACTGAGCTTCTTTCCTTGCTTCCTTGTGGGGAGAGCAGGATCTAGCAGAGAATGCAGGCTCATTACTGAGCAATCATTCCCCTGAACACGGCTCTGCTAAGTGCACTATTTTTTCAGCCCCGCTGGAGATGTGTCTTGACCTGATCACCTTGAATTTCCTTCATAAGACAGAGGTGATTTGCTGGACTAAGAACAGTCCATCTTTAAAAGAAGCATCATCTCCCTGGAGCAGGCACACCAGACAGTGACAACCCTGGAGAAGCCCGGGTCTTGTCTCTGTGCTTGTTCAACAGCGCGCGCCCCTCCCACCACAGATGGAGTCACAGCCCTTGACTTGGGGCACGAATGCTGTTCACACCTGAGCTGGGAGAAAGCACTTTGTGGCCACGTGGGCAAGGGCTGCACACTAACTTCAGTTCAGCCATTCCCTAGAGGACTGAGTGTCTAAAGATGCATTGTAGGATAGGCAAGAGGGAAAAATACAGGGAGCTGGAGGGAGAAAGAGCAGGAAGGAAAGGAAGGAAGGAGGGATGATGGAGTAGGGTGGGAGAGAGAGGGAAGGGAAGAGAGGGGGTAAAGTTTGGTTTATTTTGGTGGCCTGAAGTTTTTGTCAGCAGATCAACAGGTTGTGTGTCTGTGTGTGTGTGAGAGAGAGAGAGACAAAGACAGAAACAGAGGAGACAAAACTATCATGTATTGAACACCTACTACGTGCTATCTACTTTACTGTGGGCCATGTCTCATTTTTTAAAAATTCAATCTTCACAAACTTCTTATGAACCCATTTTAGAGATGAGGCAACTGATCATAGTGACTCTTCTATCTGTTTACCTTAGAAGCAAATCTTAGTTTGGGCATATGGTGTATGTTCTGACTGGTAACTACTCATGTTACTTCCGCTTTTCCTCTTTTCAAAATGCAATGGGAACCTATGTCATCTGCCCAAGTTCCTACAGCTTGTAGCATCTCACTTCAAATTAAAGCCCAGGTCTGTCCTCCAACCATCTTACACTTGAGGAAGTTTCATTTCTCTTTGGCCACCCCAAGACCTGAAGGGGAGGAATGCTCATGCTGCAGAAATGCTGGGCTTGAAGTTGGATGTGATAGGACTTTGGATGACTTCACCTTAGGGTAAGGATAGGCACATTCGGCTACCTATGGAACAGTGGATCATGTTAGATAAGATTTTTATAAGCAAATTAATGGGAGTAAAGATGTATGTGGGCATGTCCATTGCGTGTCCATCATGGAGTGAAGGGGTGGACTGTAGTGGACTGTTTGTGCCTTCAAAGCATTTGCTCTAGATAGGTTTTTCCATCAGCAGACCTTACTTTCCCTGACCACAGGAGACATGATGACCTTGGCAAGGTCAATCATATTGTCCATCCCAGCAGCCAGTGTTTGCTTCAAGGAAGGACACATGACCCATTTGTTGCATTCTGATAGAGTAAAGCTGGGAGGAAGAAATCTGCCTCTCCCAGGTGCTATAACCCCAGAGCTACCACCAGCCCAGTCCCTGGCACCAAGGCCAATCTGTGTAGGAGAACAAACTAGCCAAGGCATAGAAGAGCAGAGATGAGAGTGACAGGAAGAAGACCACCAATTATTCATTTAAAAAATCCAGTCCAGCAGAGCCACTGCTGTAGTTTGATGACATGACACAATGCATTTTCTTCTTTAGCTTAAGCTAGTTCAAGGTGGATTTTTGTCCCTTGGCACCAGGGTAGGGGGAGCACTAACTACTACACTGATACTCAAGCTTAGCAACTTGCCCGAGTCCACCCCACAGTGAGGGTCTCAGACCAAATCCATGTCCAGGTCTGTCTATTCAAAGTTGCCCCTTCCTATATGCCACACTGAGTCCAGGATTGGGAGGAGATGTCTTGGGAGGAGATGTCTCCCCAGAGAGACCTGCCCAGGAGGAGGATGGAGCTGGGAAGTGGGGTGGTTCGTTGGGAGAAGATCTGGGATTTTTACCATAGGTCCATCTTCCCCAAAGCCTGGGCTTTTAGTTATTTCTTTTTAAGCTTTATTTTAAGTGCAGGGTACATGTGCAGGTTTGTTATATAGGTAAACTCGTGTCACGAGGTTTGTTGTACAAATTATTTTGTCACCCAGGTATTAAGCGTAGTACCCAATAGTTATATTTTCACCTCTTCTCCCTCCTACCACCCTGCACCTTCAAACAGTCCCCAGTGTCTGTTGTTCCCCTCTTTGTGTCCATGTGTTCTCATCACTCAGCTCCCACTTATAAGTGAGAACGTGCAGTATTTGGTTTTCTGTTCCTGCATTAGTTTGCTAAGAATAATGGCCTTCAGATCCATCCATGTTCCTGCAAGAAACATGATCTTATTCTTTTTTTATAAGCCTGGGCTTTTAAATGGTGCTCTGTCCCCTTCCTCACCCTCCCACCAGACCAGGCATCAGGCTGAGATGTCCCACACAACAGGTGCTCAAAGACTTGTTGAATGAACGAATGACCCTCTGTTTCCTTATCTGTCAACAGGAGGGAGAGGAAGATACATGGTCCTTTATTAATGCTTTTGGAAAACACAGGCATGTTATGCATCACGGCCTGATTAATGGACTGAGCTCCATGGATCAGGATATCAATATTGAGTCAGTTTCCTTCCTGTCTTGGGAAAGATCTGGTGACCCCTTTCCCACGGACCTTTGGTGCAGGCTGCGACCAATACAACCATGGTCCCTGTCCTCAGAGTTGTTTCACCCTTCTGAGCTCATTAGCGTGGTTACTGCCAGCCCGCTAAAATCCTCTTCAGCCGTTCCTCAGGGCTCCACCTTCAAATCCTGCTGTGGTAGCAGAATCTCTCGGAGACAGGAGGTCAGATATGTAAAACAGGGACAAAATCACAGGCCACTTGAGGGTGGATTAATGGCCAAGTTCACACAATCTATCAGCTCATCTCCACAGCGGTCTGAAGACTGCTGAAATGGCAAAGTCACCCCAGCTGGGCTATTTATCTCCAGTAGAGAAACCAGCATCTGAAAAGAACCCTCCTGGTGGCAGTTTTTTTTCCTCCTTTACTTTTTTCTTTTGCTACAATTAATCTTTTCATGGAATTTTGCTCTCTTCAATGAAGGTGATTTGTTAAAAGGGTAGCTAAACATGAACTAATTTGTATGCCTCTGATTTATAGTTTGTGAACAGATTCACGAATAGGAGGCCTCATGCTGTACTGGAGTCAACCAGATCTAACCAGATCTGGGTTCAAATCCCACACATGATGCTGCAGTAGCCTCAAATATTACTCAAGCTCTTCGGGGTGCAGTTCTCCACCTGAAAAGTGGGAGCAAAAATTCAACTAGGGTTGTCAGGCTGAATTGTGTGCCCTGTCCCGCCCCCCACCCACACCCCAACAAAATGACATGTTGAAGTCTTGACTTCCAATTCCTTAGAATGTGGCCTTATTTGGAAATAGGGTCATGGCAGATGGAATTTTGTTATGAGGCTAAACTGGAGTAGGCTGGGTCCCAATCCAGTATGACTGGTGTCCTTATAACAAGATGGCTATATGAAGACACAGACGCAAAGGAGATGGTCATGTGAAAATGGAAGCAGAGATTGGAGTAATGTGGCTGCAAGCAAGGGATTGCTGAGGATGGCTGGGAACACTGGAAACCAGGAGAAAGGCATGGAACAGAGTCTCCCTTTGAGCCTTTGAGAGTGCATGGCCCTGCCAACACCCTGACTTCAGATTTCTGGCCTCCAGAACTGTGAGAGAATAGATATCTGTTGTTCAAGCCACCCAGTGTGTGATACTTTGTTATAGCAGCCTGAGAAAGCTAATACAAAGATATTGTTAAGGGTGACCTAAGTAACATTAATTTGATGCATTGAGCCTATCACAGGGTCTGGCACAGAAGGAAGACACAAGAAATACTTTTTCTCCTTCTGGGGATTCTCTGAAACACTGGAAGGTGGTCCCTCCAGAAGACCACCCAGTGCTGCCTGGGTTTCCTTGTACCGGCGATGGAATTTCCTGCTCATATCTAGGCTTCCCCAGGGCAGAAGGGATGCACCACTCACTTTGGTCAAGGCATAAGGATCCTACATACTAAGCTCACCTATATGCTTTCCCAGAAAGCCAGTTGTGATACCCCATGACTGAATGGGGTCCCTCCTTTGGGGTCCCCCAAAACTTTTCTAAATTTTCTTAGTATTGTCCATTATTTTTTCAAATTAGAAATAATTTTGGCTTATTGTAGAAGAACTTTTAATAAAATGAAAAGGTGTTATAATGGGGAAAAGCACAGCTTCTTCCTCTGAGGAATATTCACAACCTGTGCTTGAATCATTCCTGTATCTCCACCTTCCAGCAAAGATCTGGGCATGTAGTAGGTGTTTGATAAATACAGAATGAATGAATGAATGAAAGAATAAATGAACGAATGAATGGAGTTAGAGATCTTATATTTTAAGAAAGAAATAGTATAAGTCCAGTGGTTAAGAATAAGGGCTTTGGACTCTGATCAAATCGGGCTGGAGTCAGCTCTGCCTCTTGGCATCTGTGTGATGTTGGGCAAATAATTGAACCTCTCTGAGCCTGTTTCTTCATCCGTGAAATGGCACTCAATATTTTTACCTGATATGAAGCTGAAAGGAAAATATGGACAAATAGTCCCTGACACAGAGCACCTCAGTAACCTGCAGCCATTGCATCTCCAGCTGGAGGAGATGGGAAGTGGGTGCTCCTGCTATCCTTCCAAAAAAATGCAGACTAAATCTTCCCATGGCCACCTTCACACCCAGCCCAAGCCTCTCTGTAATCTCATGGAAATAGAAGCAGCACAACCTTTGAAGTCAAAGTGGGTTCAGCTCCTGGCTCTGCCCCAGATTAGCTGTGTGACTTTAGGAAATTCACATTACCTCTATTCCTCCATTTTCTCCTGCAAAATTACAGTATAAATAATAATAGCTGGCATGTATTAAGGTAGTATGCAAGCTTATTATAATAATAATAGCTGGCATGTACTTTCTGTACACTGAGAAGTGACGTGATGTAGTGCTTAAGGTTCAGGTGTAAGACTCACAACACCTGGGTTCACATACTGGTTTACTCCCTCCCCCAGGTGGGTAATCTTGGGCAAGTTACTTAACTTCTCTGTGCCTGACTTTCCCTCCTGTAAGATGGAGTTAATAACAGTGTCTATCTTCCTTCATTACTATGAAGATTATGTGATGTAATAGATGTAAATGCTTTGAACAGCACCTGGCACTTAGAGAGCACATGCTGAATTGACCTTATGTAATCATCACAACGCCATCTGATGTTAAGTACTTTTTATCCCAAAGAGGAAATGGCATGTCAGAAAGGTGAAGCGACCTGCCCAAGGCTGCACAGCCAGCAGGTTGCAGAACTGGGATTTGAACCCTGATTTGGCTGCTCAAAGTACAGGCCCTCACATGGCCATGTGAACCTAGAGAGGCCTAGGTAAATGACTGGCACATGGTAGGTGTCAGTTACACCAAAGAACTCAGACTCCTGCCCAGCCTCAGCTCAGCCTGGGTGCAGCTCCTCCCCTCCCACTCCCGGGCCATGATGGGCTCTGAATCCTCTACAGCCTGAGTCCTGCATCACTGCATCAAGCAGAGCCCTCACCAGCCTTGGAGAAAACAAAATGAGTTTAGCGTCAGGCCGGAGAAGTGTCTCATTTTTATTAGCGTTAATCTAATATGTTGTCTTTCCTCGCTAAACTCTGAATAAGTTAATCAAGGACAGGCTGGATTTGTGTTTTCTTGATAACACTGCCTGATTCCAAAGGCTGTCTGCTGAGAGCCCTGGCCTTGGGGCTATGTTCTTATTTTCTCTTCCTTCTCTCTGCACTTTATAAAATATATAAGATTGCTGGGTAAGGCATGGTGGGGGTGCAGGTGGCATGGTATAGAAGAATGCTCACAAGCTTTGGAATTAAACAGACCTTGTGTTAAACCTTGGTTCCCCCACTATTGACCTGTGTAAACTACGGTAAGTGATTTCTTTCTGGACCTCAGTTTTGCCATCTGGGAAATGGAATAATAATCCCTAACTTACTGAGTGGTAGTAATTAAATGAGTCAATGAAACACGTAACATGGTCTAGCCTGTAATGATCATTCACTAGATATCAGCTAATATTACTACAAATAACAAGGACAGCAACTATTAAGTGACCTATTATTATGAGCCAGAGGATATTATAAGCATGTTACATATATCATTTCATTCAAATAATACATGAAAAGCAAATAGACAAGTGGTTGGTGTGAAGTAGGTACTCAAGAAATGGTCCTTATTATTAGCATTGATGGCAGTATTTCAATCTCACAACAAATGAGAGACGTTGTTGTTTCTGTATCACCTACACCATAAGGAATTCATATTCTATCAGGGGACATGGACAAACATACACAATTGCCATTCATATAAGGGCCATGCCAGGGAGCATAGAGGAGGAGCATTTGATCAAACCTGTAAGGGGATCAGGGAAAATTTCTTGAAGATTAGCAAAGATGAGACTTGGAGGAAGAGTAGAGCTAACGATGTAGAGGTACTCCAGGCAAAGGGATAGTCATTCATTCGTTTATTCATCCAGTCATTCACCCATTCAACAAATAGGTATTCAGCAACAGCACTTAGCCAGGTGCTGTCCCGGGTGCTGATAGAACACAGACAGGCAGGACAGGTAATAGCCCTGCCCTCCTGGAGCTGACAGTCCAGTAGAACAGGCTGATCTTAAACAAAGAGGCAAACACATAAATGAGATGCTTTCAGATGGTGATAAGTGTTATGATGAAAATAGAGTCGGGGATTGTGGTTGTGACTGGGTAGGAAGTGGGGTTATTTGAGTTAGGATGCTCCGGGATGGTCTCTATGGGAAGTCGAGGTTTGATTAAAGACTTGAAGGAAAGGAAGAAGGGAGCTATGCAAACATCTGGGGAGACGGCATCCCAGATAGAAGGCACTGCATATACAGAGATCTTGGGATAGAAACAGGCTTGGTGTGTTCAGTGAACTGCAAGGACAGTGGGGCAGAGCATGGTGAGGGGAGTGGGGTTATAAGATGAGGTTGCAGAGTTGGACTGTGGGAGGCGTCTGGAATTTGTCCTAAGCATTATGGGGACCATATCTCAAGGTGCTGGCTGGTGAGGACTTTGGGGCTTTCAAAGGCCAGAATGGAGTTTGGAGTGGCTGGGGTGTAGCACTTCACACCTCACCTATACCTATAAGATGATACCCCGGGAGATCCCAGGAGCACTTCCTGAGCACCTCTAAGCATCTACTCAGTGCTAGGCCTTCATCACCCTTGTCTCATTGAACTCTCAGGAGCATCCAGTAAAATCCCCATTTTACAGATTTCAAAACTGAGGCGGGAGAAGGTAAAACCATTTGCCTGGGCCACATGGCTGGTGGGGGTGGAGCTGGAATATGAATCCACATCCCCTGATCCATTCTACCACTTCCAACATCTCCTTTGCCTCCCTGTGAGCATTGGTTCTTGAAGAGGCAGAAGTCTAGGAAATTCCTGAGGGCAGAAAGATAGAGTCTTCTAGATGGTTCCCAGGCCAGGTTGGGGGCAGGACTGGGGCAGGAGAATGTGTTCCAAGATGAATTCCCTCCATTAATCCTGCTTCCTTCCATGGTAGCAGAAGGGTTTTTTATGAGTTGAATCACAGTAGAACACAAAGGCTAGTGAGATTTTCCATCTGCCTTGATTGGTGGTTTATTCTCCCAAACCATCTGGCCCAGATTTCTGAAATGTCCATTTGTGTTAATCTTATGAATTGTAGGGGTTGTGGGTTCCTCCCTAGCATGCTGGTTGGATGGGTAGATGCCAGTGGACTCTAGGAGACAGCCTTAGAGAACTGAGCATTCAGGCCAGATGAATCAGATTTAAACTCCGTTCCTGCTGCTGACCAGCTGCGCAGCTTTGGGCAAGTGTCTTCCCTTCTTCAAGCCTCAGTTTCCACATCTGTTAGCTGGGCACAGGATAATAGGGGCCTTGTTTAAGCCCATGAAGTGTAGTGAAAATCAAATAAGGTAATGCAGTCATGAACAAAAGCCTTTTTAGATTATAAATGGCTGAGAAAATGCAATGAAATCTATCCAGGGCAATGATCTCTCCTGAGATCCATCACCAAGGGACCCAGCAAGATGGACTGAGAGACAGTCTGGTGGAGCAGAAGCTCTGCCACTTAGCTGTGTAATCTTGTGCTCTTGGTACCCCACTTTCCTCATCTTTAAAATGGGAATAAATAAAATCTATCACCTACAGTTGTGGTGATGTTTCTATATATGTAAAGTGCTTGGAAACAGTACTTGGTGCCTAGTAAGTACCCAATAAATGCTGACTGTTTTATTTTCATGTATATTTAACAAGGACTGTAAAAGGCTACAGGGGAGAGTCAGACTTTGACCTCTGATAGATGTGGAGTTCAAATCCAAACTTGCCTCTTGACAAGCTGTGTGACCTTGGGCAAGCCGCTTCATCTCTCTGAGCTTCAATTTTCTCCTCTGTGCAATGGGGATGATAATGGCAGGCACTATTTATAGCTACAATGATATGAC
Source organism: Homo sapiens (assembly GCF_000001405.40). Classification (NCBI taxonomy): domain Eukaryota; kingdom Metazoa; phylum Chordata; class Mammalia; order Primates; family Hominidae; genus Homo; species Homo sapiens. The sequence continues at coordinate 108,196,318 of NC_000012.12, read as the reverse complement.
AGCTGGTTCCTATTAAACACTGAAAACTGACAGCTGTTATTACATTGTTAGTATCTCCTCCCTTCTCCCCAGCCCCTCAGTGTCCAGATGTTCCTCGCTCTTACCTCGCTCTTCCTCCTTCTCCCGGACAACCCTCCCCTTGAGGGCTCGGCTCCAGGCTCCACCGTAGTCGCCAAGCTTGGCTCTCTCATTCCCATCCTTGCCCTTGAACCAGGGTCCGTACCTGCGAGCAATGCTTGAGGCTTCACCTGTGTCCCGGAAACCTCTGCCCAGATGCATGTCACCCAAGAAGGACAGCTCAGCACCCTCAGCTGGGCCTCCTGCAGCAGCGGGGTTCGCCTGGTTCCCCGAGACAGCGGGCTGGCCCACAAAGCCAGAGTGAAGGAAGACAAGGCTCCCAGCAGTCAGGTAGAGTGCCAGGAAGGTAAAGAAGCGCACAGGTTTCCGGCGGAAGTACCGCTGGAATTTGAACCAGAGCTTGGCCATAGTGGGATCATTCCGGACTGGCTCTCTGGGGCTTGGCTGGGGTGCTTGGGAGAGGATGGAAGGGGCTTGGTTTCCCAAGCTTTCCTTAGGGATGGAACACTTGGGGGTCCTCAGTCTCACTCTTCCTGAAAAAGTGATCACCAAGGCCAGAAGGGGAGGGCAAGTTCAATGCTTGGCTGAGGCCATGAGAAAGGATGGAGCTTACCAGCCCTCCCAAACTGAAGGTGAGCTTCTTTGGGCCAACAAGGGGGTTTTGAGGCTCAGAACACACATAAGTTGGTCCCATTTTCCTACATATTGTTCTTCACTTCAGAGTGTTCCTAAAGAACTGTGAGAATAGCACTTGGAGAAGGTTTCTGAGGGTTACCAGCAGCTGCAGTTCACTTCTTGCCCTTTCTCTGCTCCTCAGGCCAATGGATCTGGGTTATTTCACTGGGGGCCTTGTTTCTGGCCTCTTCCCCAGCTGAAGACCAAGCTTGGCCTTTCTACCTCATGGGAACAGAAGCTGGTGGGCCTCCATCCAGTCAGGCATCAGGACTCAGGGATGCCACCTGCAAAACAGCAGAGACACAGGCATGAGAAGCCCCTTCACCAAAGCACAGAACCCACAGGGTTCTTGAGCATCCTACAGGGAAATGCAGAGGCCCGGAGAGAGGAGGAAACCACCAATGGCATGAAACAGTTTAAGAGCAGTGCTAGATAAAGAGCATCCCTGAGTCTTCTAGAACACTGCCTTTTTCTTGACACCAAACTGGGAATTTAGGGACCTGGATCCTAGTGGGCCCTAGTTGGGGACAAACTTTGTCTTGGACAAGCACAGGTTCTTATGGGCCAGTGGTTTGCTTTGCTCCATACTTCCTATATATTTGTCAAATATATACTGATCCAAGGATTACCTTAAGTCTGAAAAGTACTTTCAAGGTCCTTGCTGAACTACCTGCTGAACCTGGGCAATTCTGAACCAGACCAGATTCATTCATTTTTTTTCCCAACAAACACTCAGTGAGACCTACTTTGTGTGAGGCACTGTCCTAGGTGCTGGAAATTAAGCTGTGAGCGGCAGAGGCAAAATCCCCTCTTTCATAGAGCTCACATTCTAGTGGGAGAAATAAAATCCATAGCCCCTCTCCTCTATCCAAGAAGGAAAAGGAAAAAGAAGGAAAGTAGGGTTATTTAGCAGCATATTTGTCCATTCAGTGTTTATTGAGTGTCTACCATGTGCTCAGCTTTGTGCCCAGCCATCTACACTTGTCTCCTTTATTGCTCCCAACATTCCTATGAGAGGTAACTATTTCTCTTCTTTACAGATGAGGAAATGGAGGTCACACAGCTGGTGAGTGATGGAGCTGGGATCTGGACCCAGGACAGTCCAAATCGCAAATCACAGCTCTTAACCAGTGTCTCTTTGACTCTGCCTCTTTCCCACATAGTCTGGACATCACTTGAGAATTCAGAGACAGCCCCCCAGACGGTAGCCCATCCTTACAGCCTCCCGGTCACCAGCATGGCTCACCCTTTGTCAGGGTCTCCCGGGTGTGGGTCTGAGAAACAACTGATTCAGAATCACCTGAGAGCCTGGTGAATATAGATTCCTAACCTTTCCAACCAGAATGTCTGGTTGAGGGGGAAACCCACATCTGTAACCAGGTGCTCTCAGATAATGGTAATGAGCACAGAGAGTTGAGTACCACAGCTTTATGAGTAAATGTTCAGGATCATCAGTCAAGAGGAAAAATAGAATGTAAATTAGAAAACAGAAAACCCCATTTAGCCAATGCTTTTTCATATTACCACCAGCAGGGGGCCCCATGACCATCTTAGCCAACGCCTGAGATTCCATAGTCAGCCAATGGAAGATACAAATTGTAACATACTCTCCTAATCCAGACAGTAGTGTGGGCATTTAACTGTGGTTTAAGGTAGAGTCTGCCATCCCATTTATTCAAGAACTAAGTACTGAGCACATACTATGTCACCCTCGTAGGCACTTGGAATAAATAAGTGAACAAAACAGACAAAAATCCATGCCTTTGTAAAGTCAAACTATCTGTCCATCTATCCATCCGTCTGTCATCCAGCAGTCCACCTACCCATCCAGTCATTAAGCCAACCCTCTATCCATCCACCCATCCATCCATCCAACCATTCATCTGTCTGTCATCCAGCATCCACCCACCCATCCATTCGTTAACCCATCCGTCCATCCATCCATCTATCCATCCATCCATCCATCCATTTGCCTTCCGGCAGTTCACCTACCCATCTATTCATTGAACCATCCATCCACCTACCATTAATCTATTCATTAATCTGTCCAACTATACATCCATTCATCTATCCATCTGAACTATAGCAGCCCATCCATCCATCCATCCAACTCTCCACCCATCCAGTCATCCACTCATTCTTCCATTTATTTAAAAACATATGCTGATTGCCTACTATGTGTGTGTTTGAGATGCAGGAATAAATAATTCACAGTCCCTGCTTTCAGAGAATTCAGAGTCAACTGAGGGAGAAAGCAATGTAAACAATCACTATGCTAGACAGACTATGATAAATCCCATAGTAGATGTGTGTACAGGATACAGCAATCAATATTATAGTTAATGTTTATTGGACAGTTAATACATGCCAGACATTCTTCTACACATATACATACTCTCATTTAAACATTTCTATGAGGGAGACCTATATCTATTTTTACACAAGAGGGGAATGAGTATCAGAGAGATTAGGTAACTTGTTCAGGGTCACAGAGCTAGTAAGTGGCAGCAGGATGGTAAACCCAGTGCCACCTGATTTCAAAGCCTATATTCCTAACCGTATGTCTATTCTGGTCTTGTAACTCTTTGAGGATCTCATGACAACTATAGATATATGCCCAGAAAAAAAAAAAGCCCTTGCACATAAGCTCCCAGAATTTGGCTTAAAATATCAGGGTGGGGTTTGGACCCTGGGTTGAGAAGCCATGGAATGTGGGAGCCCAGGGAAGTGAGGGTCTGCAACTGCCTGGGGGAACCATAGAGGGCTTCCCCAGGGAGGAGTCTTTGAGCCAGTAGGTCTTGCAAAAGGAGTCAAAATTCTCTGGGTGAAGGAGCAACAGAAGGTTAGCCCAGGGAAGAGGAACAGCCCACATGAGGGTGCATCACTGAGGGGTAAGAAACAAAGGAGCTTGGGGGACTGTGGGCTGGGAACACAGCCAAGCAGTGGGCAGGAGCCAGACCATGGGAAGCCTTGGATGCCAAGCTCAGGAGTTGGGACTGTGTTCTAAAAACACACATGAGAATCCACTGAGGTTTCATGGTCGTGCCAACACGTGCCAGATGTTTCTGCAGCTGGGATGGGATGAGAAAAAGCCAGCAGTCCTCGTGGGATGGGCAAGGGGACACCAGCCCTTCCAGAGGCACTCAGGCAAGAACAGAGGTGGACTCCACAGGCAAACAGACCTGGGTTCAAATCCTGCCTCTTCCATTACCCCAGGTGAGTGACTGGGGCAAGACATCCCTTCTCAGCAAGACTCAGGTTCCTCACCTGTAAAGTGGCCTAAAGGATCTTGACTTCTCCCCTAAAAAGTATGTTGCTGGAAGGACTGAATTAAACATTGTAGGAGGAATACCTGATGCATAGGAGATGCTCAAGATAAGCCCCACCTCCGCCCCTCAAGGGCACATGTGAGACACTTGAAAGCCATTTGCCACCTCAGCACATTTGCTGTCGTGGAGACAGCAAAGTTTTCAGCTGTAGTGTTCCCTGTGGCTTTCTGCCTCTCTCAGGATATTTCTGGGTCTAGTCCTTTTTCATTGTTCCCTCTTCGTTCTTTCATATTCCAACACATCTCTTCTCTAAGTGGGTGCGAAAGGGGCTTTAAGAGGATAATGAGCTCATTAGGGGCTGGCAGGGAACAGAATGAGACTGAGGCATGGGTGATGTGGAAAATGAAGGAGATCTGCCGGAGGGATGTGGACCGTGTGGAGAGGGGCTGTGTCCACCCCCCACTTTCAGAGCTCCCTTTTCTCCTGGGGAGGGAAGGTGCTGACCTGAGCCATCCCACAGCATCCTGCCGGTGCTAGGAGGAGGCAGGGGCTCGCCCAGAGGAAGAGCCCCCTGGAAGCTGAGCCCCATGGAGGGGATAAGGCTATTTGATACATAGGAGGGTCCCAAGAAACACTGGTAGAGAAAAATGAGTAAAAAGAGTCAGGTTCATCCCCCCAGGGCTTACACCTACAACCATGGCTTCACACACTGGCCAAAACACTCAGGTGACAGCCTTGGAGAACTGTAAATCCAGGGCTCTGTGGAGGTAGCATTTGTGTTACTCAGCACTGGGTGGTTCTGGGGTTCAAGGGTTCCAGGATTCGGCTGAGCCAAAGCCCCATATCCTCAAAGGTATCCCAGACTCCCCTGCCTCCCACATCCATCTGTCATTCTCTCTCTCCTGCCTCTCTCTCCATCTCTGTCTCTCCAAGTCTCTCTCTAGTCTGTCATTGTCCCTTTCTGCTATCTCTCTCCAGAGAGAAATTCTGCCTCAAAGGTAATGGGGAAATGAAACTAACTGCATTTGTTGAATACCTACTATATGCTGGATACTGTGTTTGAAGGTTTTACAAATACGTTCTCCCATATTCCTCCCTCTGGGATAGCTGCAAGGCAGGTGTGATGTTTCTTCACAATCCACAGATAATGTGTCTACAACCCTGGGTGAGACAGGGGCTGTTGGCCTTCAGCAACCCACTTCTCTCTGTCTCTATTTGTTCATAGCATGTTGAGGATTATAATTGTATTAATATCCCCTCCTGTCATTCACTTACAGGTGTGAGGTCCAGACAGGGGACTTCATCTCTCTGAGCTGCCATCTTCTCTCTATAAAGTTAAGTCAACCATAGAATGCCCCTCCCAGAGGTGTGGGGAGGATTCGATGAGACAATCCACAGGGCTGGCTATCACGACTTCATCCCCCTTTATTTTATGTGACACCTCTCTAAGCCTCAGTTTCCCCATCTGTTAAATGTGGTGGACGACCTCTACTCTGCCTCCCCCCCAGGGCTGGCATGAGTTTCCACAGGGAGGAGGCTGAGAGGCCCCCTTTGTGGGAGTGGCAGCATTTGGTTACTGCAGTTCATGTTTCCAGCAGGAGCCTCAAAGTGTCTAAACACAGACTATTTTTAGCACCAGAATGAGGCTCTGGTGTTGAGCTGCCAACTTGAAGATGGGTGGGGAAGAGCTGCCTGCAGGGGAAAGAAAAACAGAGGCATAGCCTGCCCTGTGGTTCCTTACCTCCCCTGGGAGTAAAATTATGCCTCCCCCTTCCAGGTTCTATTGGCTAGGGTAGGCCAGAATGGAAGCCTGTGAGGCTGGGTAGGGGGCTGACTCCCTCTCTGTAATCCCCAGCACCTGACTTGGGGGGCAGAGGCAGTTCGGAGGGACTGGGCAGGCCCAGCGACCAACTGACCCCCAGACCACCCAAGCTTCACCGAGAAATAGCTATTGAGAAATCAGGTTCATGAAGGTTTGATTTCTTAAGAGTTCTGGGTAGGAGACCCATCTGGGAAGTTTCCAAGAAACTGGGGAGCCCAGGTAAAATTTCAGTCTTGTTCTAATAATAAAAATATCAGAAGTCACTGGTGTTTGTTGAGCGCATACTATATGCCAGTCATCTTATTCCCATTGTGCCTTTTAATCCCCACTATCATTCTTTGAGGTGGTCATTAACTTCTTTGAACATCAGTTTCCCCATCTATAGAGTGATGATGTAATATAATTTATCTCTTAGGGTTAGCGTGAGAACTAAATAAGTCAATATATACAAATATATCATATCTATATGTATTAGGTGCAAATGCTACATCTTATAATAATTTCTGGAGAATACATGTGGTTTTGCCTGTTCAGTGCCCCTTCATTCTGATACAAGGACTCTATTTTCCTTCACGGAATTTCTCCCTCATTAATTCTCAGCTCATGTGGCTTGGATAGAATGGATTCCTCTTGCCAGTTGCTGCAGACATTCCTATACCTCCCTCCTGATGCATGTATATAATAATTAATGTAGAGTGCATGTATACCTAGGAGTGAAAGCGCTAGTTTTTGTCTGTTTGTTTTTGTTTTTGTATGAGCATCTTATGATTATCCTAAAAGATGCCAGTTTTTTTCCAAGGTTGCTGTAGTCACAACTTCCCCAGTACAGTTTGAGCATTCCTGCTGCTCCAAATCCACACCAACACTTAATGTTGTCAGTCCTTTCCTTTTTGGTCAGTTTGGTAGATCTGTAACAGATGCCATATGTGCCCCACCCACAGAGTTAAATTCTGAATGTTCATCTGGTTGTCTGAGGGGTTTCTCCAGCACCTTGAATGCTTTTTGTGCTTGTGTGGTTGGCAGGCAAGACATGCTAGAATATTAACATTTGGAAGCAGCTGCAAATATGACTGATGGGAGTTGGTGTATAAATGCCCCAGCTCCCTTGCTCCTCAGCTGGAATAACTCTGCAGTGTGTATTTCTCCAGTGGGACTTAGCCTCAACCACCCTCTGTAACAGATGACTCAATAATACACCCTTTATTGATTTCTTCCCTTCCCTGTCTCACTTCCCCGCTCAGGGAAGGACAGGAGTAAGTATACTCTTTATTTCCTAAATGAACTACTTATCAGTGGTATTCATTTCTTGGAATAGTTGATTCCTTAGAATAGGAATCAATATGGTTGATTCATATCATATCAATGGTTTTTCAACCTTTTCCTTATCATAGACATGTAAAATATTTCCAGTCTTCCCTCTTTTATAAATAAGTAACGCTATGATAAACATCCTGTATGTAAATCTTTATACAGATCCCCGGAAAGCAATATAGGACCTTTCAACAATGATGAGACATCGGCATATTATACCCACTTTACAGATGAGAAAGCTAAAGTTCACAGAGATTAAGTAACTTGCCCAGACACACAAAAAGTGGAGCATGAATTCAAGTGCAAAACTGAGCCTCAGTGTCATGATGCCATGGCGGACACTATGCAGACCAGCAAGGCAGCTATTCCCTGTCTTAACCACTAATCCCTCAGTTGAATCCAAGCCTTGATGAAAGGAACCTTTCTGAGCCTGAAGATATGGATGGCCATGCCTCGAACACTTCTCAGGTAGATAACCCCCAATTCCTTTAATCAAAGTTCTTTCTCACCCTTCTTGGTGGTGGACCAGCCATTTGGCAAGTGAAAGACTTAATGAAACAGCTTGAGAAGAAATGCCATTATAAATGCCAAATCCTTTCCCTCATTGTCTTAGGAATCCAGAATTTTAGTAACCCAGCTAACCCTAGGGAAGGCTTTTGCACCCCGTACAGTGGGTGGACCCTCTCTGGGACACACCCTTCCATTCATTGGTGTGCTGTAGTTTAATGATTCCATCGTGCTCATGATGGATATATTGTGGTTCTGCAGATCTTTGATGCAACAATTCTGCAGAATCTTTGACACAACAATCCCACTTTTTTGACCAGGAAGCATGTACACACCAGGAAAGCTTCACCAGGTTCCTAGGCACACCCGTATGTTGCCCCCTACACTTGCTCACCCCACCTCCAGAAAGAATCCCCTGGGTCCCCACACTTCCCTCTGTTCCCAGGAAGGAAACTCACTCAGCACTACCCTACGCTCACAGCCTGCCAACCATGTCCATTTTCATTTATCTTCCCCAAAACTCAAGAAAATAAATGAGAAGGCAAAGTGCCATTAGCTTAATGGCCTTTAACACCCAGCCATCTGCCATGATGTAATTAAATAAAAAAATCAGAGGGAGCATATGGTGTCCGTTATAAATAAATATTAAAATTTTGTTTATCTGGGTAATGACTCTAGTGCCTCTTGCTCCATGGGCAATCTTTACAGCCATCTTCGCTTGTTGCAGGGTCAGGGTGGGCCACTATGGACAGGAATGGCCACGGAGAGGAAACGTGGAAAGGGGTCAGGGCCAGAGTCACACACTCCTGCATCTGAACCTGCCTCAGGGCGGTGGTGGCTGTGTGATCTTCAGCAAGGGGCCTCTCTGTGACTCAGTTTTCTCACCTGCAAAATAGAGCCAATCCACCCTGCCTCATTGGAAAGGTAGGAGGGTTAAATGAGCTACTGTTTTTAAAATACATAGCACCCTAATAATAATGTGAGCTAGTATTTATTGAGCACCAACTATGTGACAGACACTGTCTAGAGAGTAACTTGTAATCCTTACAACAACCCTATAAGAAAGGTTCCACTTGTTAGCCCCATTTTACAGATTAGGAAATCAGAGAAGTTAAGTCATCTGTGCAGCATCACACAGCTAGCAAGTGGTGGAACAGGCTTCGAGCCCAGGAAGCCTGGCTCTGGGGCCTGCACTCTTAACCGTATGCTAAACCTGTCATGACAGTTTCTTAGTAGGTAGTCATTCTCTGCCACAACTTTGGCCAACTAAACAAAACATTTACCTCTTCTCATGACAATACCCTTTGCCCAGACTTCAGAAAAAGATAAAGGTTCAATGAGTTGGTGCAATGATTGGTGACTACCTAAGGTAGGTGTGGAGGACACATTTTGAGGAATCTGTCTAGTATGTGACACCCACCCCTTGCTTACAGAGGCAGACCCTAGGGGCTGTGTTTGCAGCATATTACCCTTCCCACTGGCACTGCCGGTGGATAATAGGTAGGCTCAGATCTAAAACTGGTCAATCCATTCTTGGCCCCAGAAATATGGAGTTGGGATTTGAGACATTCACATCTTTGCTGATCACTTAGACTATGGACCTGTAGCCTCAGGAGCTGTCACCAGGTGCCCAAAGAAAGAGCAAAAGTTAAGTCTGCAAAGAGAAGAAGAAGAAAGTAGCTGAGCAGAGAAGAGACACTGAACCGAGACAAAGAAGAGACAAAGGACCCGAGAAAGACTTGAGTCCTTGATCTCGTAGGACCAAGCCTTCCAGGGTTATAGACAGCACTGAATGAGAAAACTTTTCATTTGTCTCTTCTTACCATGGTGCTAGGTATACCAAAAGGGCTCAATAAGCTACAGTTAGTCTTCAAAGGGCAACTCATAAAACAAAACATACTCTTACCATACGATCCAGCAATCATGCTCATGGGAATTTACCCAAAGGAGTATGTACATCCAGACAGTGGAGTATTATTCAGGGCTAAATGACATGGAGGAAACTTAAATGCATATTATCAAGTGAAAGAAGCCAATCTGAAAAAGCTACACACTGTACGATTCCAATGATATGATATTCTGGAAAAGCCAAAACTATGGAGACAGTAAAAAGATCAGTGGTTGCTGAGGGCTAGAGGGAGGGTGAGTAGGTAGAGTATAGGATTTTTAGGACAGTGAAACTGCTCCGTATGATACTATAATGGTGGACACATGTCATTATACATTTGTCCAAACCTACAGAAGGTACAACACCAAGAGTGAGCCCTAATGGACACTGCAGACTTGAGTGATAATGATGTGTCAGTGTAGGTTCATCAACTGTAACAAAGGGACCACTCTGGTGCGGGATGTTGATGGAGGGGGAGGCTGTTGGAGGAGGGTCTGGGGTTATATGGGAACTTTCTGTACTTGCCGCTCAATTTTGCTATGAATCTAAAATGGCTTTTTAAAAGTCTATTTAAAAAGGGGGGACAATAATTTATTTGAAAAGGCAGAGACCCACTGAGGTACATGTCAACGAAATATCCAAACTGTGGGCTCTGGGGAAGGGGCCATGTTGCAGGAAGGGTCAGGGGATTGGAGAGAGATGAAGGGGTGAGCTGACAGTCTCCCTTGTACAGTGGTTTGATGAAAGGGACCCAAGGTGCAGGTCACCCAGTCCACTGGCCACCCCATGAGGCAGCTGGCAGCCCTTCTCCAAGTGCAGATCACTTTCTTCCCCAAGAGGGACTTCTGAAGGGACTTCTAAATCCCTATCATTAAGCCATCTGGAGTCATCCTTCTCCTCCAGGAGCTGCTGTGTCTTGGGTCAATTAGTGCACATTTGCATAGAGTTCCTTAATAGGCTGGGGGAGATAATGGACGGTTCTGCTGGTTCTGGGCAGAGTGTTTACCCAAGAGGCAGACCTACAGGGAATGGCAGAGAACAGGGAGGAAGGCAGGAAGGAGGAGATAGGATGGACTAGGATAGGATGAAAGGGAATGGCGTAGAGTAAGCTATCATTGACTCACATACAGTAAGGAGAAATGTTATCTTGTGAACCTTTGCCTCGGTTGTGTGTGCGCATCACAATGTCAAATACATTTCTCACTGTGGGGTCACTGAAATAATTGGAAAGTCCTAGCATGGAGAATAGGAGGAAGCTGTGTGTGGTAGGGTGGTTCCCAAAGGCCCCTCTCAGAAGGCATTTGAGCTGAGATCTGCAAAATGACAAGGAGACAGTCATGGGAGGATCTGGGGCAAGAATGTCCCAGGCAGCAGGAGACACCATGCAGAGACTGGGAGGTGGAAAAAGGTCAGTGGGGGTCCATCCCACAAGGGCCTAGAGTTTCTGCTCAGGACTGTTCTTGAACTGCAGTGTGACCGGAGCCCATTTCCTAAATAATACATTGAGGACATTCCTGTCCCAGTGGGATGTGACCACTTCTCAGAGGCTGAGCTGAAAAATGCTTGTTGATTGCTGGAGCTTAGAAAGGTCCAAGGTCCAGGTGCTTGGCAAGGCTTGTGGGAGGATTTAGAATTTCTTTCTGGCTGGGGCTCAGGGAAATGTGGCCCTCAAAGCCTAAAATATTTACCTTCTAGCCTTTTACAGAAAGTATTTGCTGACCCTTAATTTTCATCAGCAATGGAAACTGATACAGAGTTTATGGGGGAAGGGGCTTAGGACCACTGAAGGAGTTCACCCTGTCCCTCTTCAGAGCTCAAAGGCCACTCTCAGGTCACTCAGCTTCTTCCTTACAGCAAGTGACAGAGCTACAAGAAAGCCTGGAGATCCAACACCTAGCGAAACAGCCTTCCTTTACATAAGGGGAAACTGAGGCTTGGAGAAACTTGAATGAAATAACCTCTGTCCATATAAAATGTCTCGCATAGACCTGGACCCAAGTAAGTGCTCAATACTTTTTAGCTATTACCAAGATTATGATTATGATACCATAGAATCCTAGAGTTCAAAGGGCCCTTAGACACCAGCTAGTTCAAGTCTGATGTTTTACAGATGAGGAACCCGGGGGCTCAGAGAGGCTGGAGGAGTGGTCCAGAGTCACACAGCCAGGCCAGGGCTGAGCTGGTTCCTGCCCTGCAGGTTTCTTCCCAGAGCACACGCTGCTCCCTGGCAGCCCCCATTGCTCCCAGCCGCAAACACGAGCAAATTGCCATTTGCTGGTTCCACACTGACCACGGTGGATTGAACTCTAATTTAGGAACGGTGACAGCACCTATTAGCAACCCTTCCCCAAAGAGGAACTTTCCACCAGGAGTGAAAAATAACTGCCATCCCCACCCCCAAATCACCCAAGCCCAATCTTTCTGTCCAAGGCAGTGTGTGTGTGTTTGGGGGGTGGTGGTGGAGAGGTGGTCTCTGTGCTCCCCAGCCCACCTCTACAGGTTCAAATTCTCTTCCCCTGTCCCGGAGAACCTTGTGCCCTTGGAGGGGTTGCCAGCACCTACTGCCAGCTCTGAGCAGGACTGAGAGGTGGGCTCACAGCCATCAAAGCAGGAGGGAGGACTGTTCATAACCTCCAGGTCAGCTTCCTCACAGACATATGGGGTAACTGAGGCCTAAAGGGGAGGTGGAGGGTGACTCTACCCAGACCCAGTTTTCCTGCATCCCAGCCTTCAGCCTTGGCACCCTCCTGAGAAAGAAGAAAAATGGATAAACACCTTTTGTTGCACAATTACTATGTGCCAGGCCCTTCCATGTACCCTGTGCCATTGCCTCTCCCCAGGGGCTCTGCTTGGTAGGTTGGGTTTAATCTCACTTTACAGATGAGACAACCAAGGCCTGGAGAGGTCAGTCAACTTGCCAAAGGGCAGAGCTGGTGAGTGGCAGAACAAGACTCAACCCAGGCCTGTCTGACTCCAGACCCTTAATCCTAACCTCTATGTGACATTGTTTTCTGTGGAAGTGCCACCCTCTGACCTCTGACCTCGGGGCCTCCTCTCTGTGGGGCAAGTGGAGTGATTTGGAGGCTTTCTGTACAAGACAGCCTTTCTCCTCTGAATGCTCAGAGCCCGCTCAGAAGGCACAGGGGTTCCCAAGCCTTTAGTGGCCCAAGGAGTTCTGCTGGCATCCAACAGAGAGATGTCCCTTCATATGCAAGCAACAAGTGCCAGAAACTGACTGACCATTCTATCCATGAAGACATCACTTGGACACCATCGTACCACAGAGAAGGTGCCAGGAGGCCACACAGAGGTGCAGAGATTCATGCATGCTGAACATGTGCACAGCCCCATGGCTGTCATCCCCCTCACCCCCAGCACATACACAGAGTTAACCAGCCCTATCAGGCCATACCCATTTATAACACATGGCAGGAATCCTTATTCCCACTTCATGAGTGAGAAACAGCAGACACCATGGGACCTGCCTGAGATACATGGTTAGTCTTGGAGCTAAAACTAGAAACTGGATCTTCTCATTTTGACCAAAGGTGGTTTCTTCATCCCCTGGAATTGTCAAAAGAATAAAGAAGCACCTGTCTTGAAAAGTCACGACCAGAGTTTCTCATCATCAGTGACACTGGCACTTTGGACTGGATAATTTGTTGAGGAGAGCTGTTCTGTGCATTGTAGGGTGGTTGATAGCATCCCTGGCCTGCACCTAATGGAAGAGAGAACCAGAACACTGCCTGTGGACCCATCTGAATCCAGGCTTACAAAGTTTTGGTGCCAGATTCTAGAGCTCCTTTCTAAGATTTTTATCCTAGCTCTCCATCATAAGATCCTATTGTGAGGTTCCACGCTAGGATCCCCAACTTCTAGCACTCTATGCTGGGATACTAGGGTCCGTTCTGTGCAAGGAAAAAAAAAAACTATATTAAAAGGAGGAAAAAGTTATGCTGGAAGCTAAGTCAGGCAAGAAACTGCCTCTCCTTTTGTTCTTAAGCAGATAGCTACAGATAAAAGGTGAAATATCTCCACAGGTAGCTACTTGATGTTCACCTTATCTTATGTAAAGTGCTGATTTACTGAGAGGGAAACAAATAACGTAATTGACTACTCCTCTACCTGCTCCTTTTCTCTTGCAACCTGTGGGTTTAGTAACGTGACCATACCTTCTTTCCCCTCCAGCTTGCTTTTCTCCTTTAAATACTGAAGCCCTCAAAGTCATCTCTGGAGAAATGCACAGACCTCTCTCCTGGGCATATCCTTAACCTTGGCAAAATGAACTTCTAAACTGATTGAGACCTGTCTCAGATAGTTTTTGGTTTAGTTTCAATGTTGGTGGGCTCTCCAATTGTGAAATTTTTTTCTAAGCTCCTAAGATCTCATCTCCCATGTCAAAGTTGAAATTCTCTCCGGGAGACAGTCATGCCTCGCTGCCTTCCAGTGACCAGGATGAAAGATGCACCCATGAATTATATATTTCAAGTCATCTCTAAATTGCCTGGCAATTACAGAACAGCAAGGTCAGCTGCCGGGAGCAAGAATCTCCCTTTTGGCAGAGAAAAACAGATGGATGGAAACACAACGATATACAGAAAGATGTTACCTCTTGGAGGTAGGATTAGGAGTGATTTATTTTTTCATTTTGCAGATCTGTGTTTCTGTTTTCCATAATTAGCTGGATTTAAAGAAAGAGATAGAGCATGAGTTTTGATGTCAGTTAGACTTGAGCTGGAATCTTGGCTTGTCACTTAACAGCAGTGAGAAAGCTGAGGAAACCATTTAATCTCTCTAAGCCTTAGTTCCTTGCCCATAAAATGGGATGAGAATATGGCATGCAAAGCATCTGCGTATTGGCAGAGTTACCTGCAGTAACTGTTTAAAATGCTTACCATGGGGCCAGGTAATTCCCAGGCCTCAGCACAACCACAGTTATTGTTATTTGCACGTTTGTATCAACAGGGGCAGCTATGGCTTGGTGGAAGGTGAGTTCTGGAATGTGTAGGAGTCCTCCTCCAGCTCTGTCACTTTGTTTAACTCAAGACCTTGGCAAGGCTTAAGCCCAGGAATTTGAGGTTGCAGTGAGCTATGATCATGCCATCACACTCTAGCTTGGAGAACAGAGTGAGACCCTGTCTCTAAAAACAAATAAACAAAAAACCCTTAACAATCGCATGTCACCTCTCTGAGCCTCCATTTTCCCAACTTGTAAATGGGTGCCATCATGCCACCTCTCAGGGTCCCTGACAGGCATCTAGTCCCCGTCAATATCCTTTACTCTTCTTATCCCAGGCCAGAGGGCTGATAGGCACAGAGTAAGGTGGAACAGGGACAGAAGTTAGAACTGGGGCGGTCTTGTATCTCTTAATTTATTTGGGATTCTTTGAAAAGTGAGTCCTCACCAGCCCCAACATTAATAGGTCTTTGCTGTCATGATGTCTTTAAATTTAGATGAACACCCCCCACACAAACACGCAGCCGCCCACACACCCCCAGGAATAAATCCGCCGGGGTGGGAGGGAGGAAGGTCTGTCTGGTTGCATCCCAGGGAGGAAGAGCAAGGCACGAGGGTTGGAATAGGCTGCTGACGGCTGCAGCATGTCAGGTTCCTAAGGGGATGGATAAGCTCCTTTCATTTCTCATAGATAGCACAGGACGCCCTCTGCCCATGGCAGTGCACAGGGAGTCAGACAGGCTAGTTCCATGAAGAGGTCAATCAGATGACCACTAAGGTTCTTGGGCTTGAATCCGGACTCCCCTGCAGGACAGGCTGGGTGTCCTGGGTGACATTTGCAGCCTCTCTGAGCTGGGTTTCCCCATCTGTAGAGGAAGTGGTTGCAGGTCCATTTTCACAGGCTCACAACCTGCACTGTGTGGTCCCACAGGACCCACACTCAGAAGGCCTGCTGTGCTCGGTTTAAAGCTCTGCTGTCACTGTCTTGAAATTCTTCATAATTTTTGGAGAAGGAGCCCTGCATTTTCATTTTGCCTTGCACCCTGCAAATTATGTAGTGGGTGCTGGGTAGTTGTGAGAGTTGGAGGAGGCTCAAGCTGTGGTCTCAAACTTTCCTTCTTTCTGTCCCCATCTTTTAACCTCATTCTAATGACTGTGTGGCCTAGAGCAAGTGGACTGAGCTTTCTGTTCCTCTGGCTCTTGCTTAGTAAAACATAAAAATAAAAACTACCTTAAAATTTCTTCTGGTTCCTATTTACTTCTCCCTCCCCCGACATTCAAACTACAGCTCATCCATTCATTCAACAAACATTCATTGAGTGACAGCCATTTGGCAAGCCAAGGTTTGTCCCACGGGCCTGGCCTGAGCCAAGGGATCTATCCACAGCGAGAGTATCCTGCACAAACTGCACAAATGCATCATCTCTGAGGAAAATTTCTCCCTCCTTGGCTGAAAAGACCTCTATTCTAATCAGTGGGAGCCAAATATTCTCCACTGCGGGGGGCGGCATGTTTTTATATCTTCAGTTAACAAATATTTATTGAGTACCTATTGTATGTCAGGTGCTGTGAATACATCCATGAAGATGATATGACCCCTGCCATCAGGAAAATGACAATCTTATTTTTTAGCTTGTAAAATCTTGGGGTCTGTCTTAATTTCAAGCAAAATCAATCCCAATTTTACTTGTTGGGCTTCCAGAACCTTGAAATACATGATTTCTTTTCTTTTCTTTTCTTTTTCTTTTTTTTTTTTTTTTTGTTTTTTTGAGATGGAGTCTTTCTCTGTCACCCAGGCTGGAATGCAATGGAGTGACCTCAGCTCACTGCAACCTCTGCTTCCCAGGTTCAAGAGATTCTCCTGCCTCAGCCTCCCAAGTAGCTGGGATTACAGGCACCTGCCACCACGCCCAGCTAATTTTTTCTTTTGTATTTGAAATGCATAATTTCTAATGTTCACCATGACTCTAGAAGGCGAGTGCTATTCTCCCCATTATACAAATGAGAAACTGAGGCTCAGATAGGTCCAGCGACTTGCCCAAGGTGACGCAGGTCATAAGTGGCAGAGCTGGAATTTCAACCTAGGGCTGTGTGGCTCCAGAGGGATTTTAGTGGCACCACTGCCTCCCCAGAGGCAACATGCACTCCTTGGAGCTGGGTCTTCCCCTCTCCTCTATGGCTAGCTCATTGCCAAGTCCTGGATGATCGTCTGGATCAAACCATTCCTGAAGGAATCTCATGTACAATTGCCAATCCCACCAGAGAGAAGGGAGGCCTCACACAGCAAGCTGGTCTTTAAAGTCTCCTGAATCAGAGAGAAGACCTTCCAGCCCAGAGAAAGCTACTGGCCATTAGCCACGTGCTTGCTGCAGTTTTATGTCCCATATGGAATCTGGTTTGGCCTTTTGGTTTGATCCAATCAGGCAACTCATTGCTACAGTGTGATGCTCAGGGGCTGCATAGAGCAGGAGTTCTCAAACTGGAGTGAGCTTGGAAATCCTTTGGGGGGCTTGTTAAAATACAGGCTCTGTGCCCCCTCTGCCCCCCCTCCCCCGCTGAAAGTTCCTGACACAGCAGGACTCCCGTGGAGCCTGAAAACGTGCATTTCTAACAGGCTTCCAGGCGATGTTGATGCTGCTGGTCCAGGGACTAGAGTTTAAAAACCTCCTATCCAGACAATTAAACAGGCCATGTGAAAGTGATTAGAGGAGGCCGGAAAAAAAACTCAGAGTTTGATCCTCAGTGAGGGGACAGGTGGACCTTGACTTAAAGGCCAGCCTGCTATTAATGCCCATGAGACACAGGGTGTGTCCCAGAACCTTTCTAGGCCTCAGATTGCACATGTTAAGTGGACAGTATCTCCTTCAGAGGTTGTGAGAATTAAATGAGAATGAATGCCTTATAATAATTACCACAAACTACTACTCAGAGGGTGTTTTCTACGTAGGCGGTTGTGGGTTGAATTATGTCTCCCCAAATTAATACGTTGACATCCTAACTGCCAGTACCCCAGAGTGTGGCCTTCTTTGGAGACAGTCTCTTCACAGGGGTAATCCAGTTAAAATTAGGTCACTGGGGTGTGCTTTAATCTAATATGTCAGGTAGCCTATGAGTATTGTTGCTGTTACTGTGAATGGAAGAATAATACCAGTGTTTCAAGTTTCTAAGAAGGTGTAGGATCTGTAGTATAGGCCTTAGCTTACATGTAAAAATAAGCGGATAAAGAATATTGAAGCCCCGTTGGCATGTAGATGTCGAATGATTCAGCCATAGTTTACATCTTGACAGATGTGTGTGACTGAGAGAAGGTGGTAAAGTATCTGATGTATAGTGCATAGCAAGGAACAATCGTGTCATGATTTGAAGGGTCAGGCAAAGGCCTAGAAGCGAGCCAAAGTTTCACCATGCAGAGAGATTCGATGGTGCTGGTAGGTCAATGAACAAGTGATTATACTTTTTATTAGGGGGGGTGTTTTTCAGATGCTGGTCACCATAGATGCTGGTCACCACCATGCCCTTTCATAAGTGTCCTTACAAAAGGAGGAAATCAGGACAGATACATCCAGAGGGAAGACGCTATGAAGACACAGAGAAGAGGGCCATCTATGCCAAGGAGAGGGGTAGGAAGCAAATTCTTCCCACACACACCTCGGAGGAACCAACCCTGCTGACACCTTAATTTTGGACTTCCAGCTTCCAGAACTGTGAGATAATAAATTTTAGTTGTTTAAGCTACTCAGCATGTGGTGTTTTGTTACAGCAACCCTAGCAAACTGATACACCAGTGCTCTGCATAGGACCTCAACATTTCCTTTTCCTTTTTTTTTAATGAGAGAGAATTCATATGTGGCATGGTAAAAACAAGTGCGCAGGAATTTCACATATGTACACACCCAGGTGACCCACCCAGATCAAGACTCTGAACATTCCCCTGGCTCCTAGAGGCTCTCCACTGTCCCCTCTCAGCGAATCACCCTCCCCAGGGGCCATCACTTTTCTAACTTCTATCACCATAGGTTAGCTTTGTACATTCTTGAGCCTCTTATTATTATTTTAGAAATGGGGCCTCACTATTTGCCCAGGCTGGTCTTGAACTCCTGAGCTCAAGTGTGATCCTCCCATCCCAGCATCCCAAAGTGCTGAGATTACAGGTGTGAGCCACCACGCCCAGCTGTTGAGCCTCATAAATGGCTGAACAATGTTGAACAAAGGAAGCTGGCCCCTTACATTTAAACTCATTTGTGCCATATAAAAACCCCTTGAGACAGGCACTATAATTATCTTCATTTTACAGGTGTAGAATCAGAGGCCCAGAGAGCTTCAGTAACTTGTTCAAGGTCACACAGCTAGGGTGTAGGAGGCAGAGCCAGGATTTGACTGGGTAAGTCTGGCTGCACTCACTATACTTACTGCTTTTAAATACACAGCAAGTGCCCAGTAACTATAATCACGGCGACTTCTAACAAGCAGGGGCTCTCACTCTGGGCCAGGCACCATGCCAGCTCTCTCCACATTACTTCATCTAACTCGCACACCAGTCCTATTTAGTATTTTTAAAATATATCTATATAAAATAATACACATAATATATATTACACATATATACATACTAAATTTTCTATACCTCATAATATTACCAGTGAGAAACACTAATACAAGCCCCATTTAACAGAGGAGTAAACTGAGGCTCAGAGCATTGAATAATGGATGCAAGGTCATAGACTCAGCAAGAGGCAGAGCTGGGATGGCTTGCAGAACTCGTGCTTATAACTACTGACATCAGCTGCCTCCTGCCAGCTGCTGCTAAGAGCAGCACCAGGACCACAGAACTCAACAACCTGTGCTTTAATTAAAATCACAATGAGATGCCACCACACACCTGATTTTTTCCAGTCACTTCTAATCGCTTTCACGTGGGCTGTTCTAATCGTCTAGACAGGAGGTTTTTAAATTCCAGTACACACACATTGTACTGGAATGGCTCAAATAAAAAAAAACAAAAACAAAAAACAAAAACTAATCCCAAGTGCTGGAGAGGATGTGGAGCAACTGGAACTCCCATCCATCCATGGTAGGAATGTGAAAAGGTATACTGCCACTTTGGAAAACAGTTTGACCATTTCTTAAAAAGTTAAATGTCCACTCCTAGGTATTTGCCCAAGAGAAATGAAAACCCATGCTCAGGCAAAAATCTGCATGCAAATATTTATAGCAACTTTATTTGTAATTGCCAAAAATGAAAGCAAACAAATGGTGAATGAACAAACTGTGGTGCCTCCATACAACGGAGTACTACTCAGCCATGAAAAGGAATCAGCTACTGATGACACAACAGCACTGATAAACCTCAAAGGCATCATGCATTATGCCGAGTGAAAGAAGCCAGACTCAAAGGCTATTATGATTCCATTTATATGACACTCTGGTAATGGCAGAAAAGAAAGACAACACAAAACAGATAGTGGTTGTCAGGGGCGAGAGATGAAAGAGGGATTGACCACAGAGGGGCAAAGAGGAATTGAGGGTGATGGAACATTTGTTCATCTTGATTGCAGTAGAGGTTATATGGTTGTACACATTTGTCAAAACTTGCCAAACTGTACACTAAAATGGGTGCATTTTACTGTAGGTAAACGATACTCAATACAAAACATTAAAGAAAATATAACAATAGGCCGGGCGTGGTGGCTCGCGCCTGTAATCCCAGCACTTTGGGAGGCTGAGGTGGGCGGATCATGAGGTCAGGAGATCGAGACCATCCTGGCTAACACGGTGAAACCCCAACTCTACCAAAAACACAAAAAATTAGCCGGGCATGGTGGCGGGTGCCTGTAGTCCCAGCTACTTGGGAGGCTGAGGCAGGAGAATGGCATGAACCCAGGAGGCGGAGCTTGCAGTGAGCCAAGATCGTGCCACTGCACTCCAGCCTGGGCGACAGAGCGAGACTCTGTCTCAAAAAAAAAGAAAAGAAAAGAAAAGAAAAATGCCATGTAACATTAACCCACTGTGCTTTTTTCCTCCTATGCTGGCTGCTTCCCTGAAGGAAGGGATGCTTCCAAGAGGATTAACGCCTGCTCACTTATTCTAGGCGCCTGAAAGGTTCACCTGGAGGCAGAGGATGGCTCACTGGGGCAGGGATGGCTCCCAGGAACACCTGGGTTCCCACACGCCCCTCATCCCATTGCCTGCTTTGCTCCCAGAGCAGTAACACTGGGGTTATTTTTGCTCTGAGAAGTACCAGCCACAGGGTTCTTTCTCTGCAGGCAGCCACCACCCCCTGCTGTGTTTACATAAAAACACATTTGCACAGGGTTTTGTTTTTACATTTGCCTCAGCGGCCTGGATCCTATTAAACCGAGGGGAGGCCTGATTATCTGGCTGGAAGCAGCTGATGAGAGAAGGCAGGTTGGAAGAGGGTGGTGCGGGCACATGCTTCCTCTCTTTTAGTCTGTGGAACCCTGGGGTCTCTGTGCAGAGGCCACAGAAGTGCTCATGGGGCTCACTTGTGCATGTCCCAGCATTTCCCAGCCTCTGCACTACTGACATTTTGGGCCAGGTGCTTCTTTGATGAGGGGAACTGTCCGGTGCTGTGCATTGCAGGATGTTTAGCATTCCTGCCCCCTGTGTGCTGGTAACACCCACCAGTCATGACAAGCAAACCTGTCTCTAGACATTGCCAAATGTCTCTTTGGGCAGGGAAGGAATTGTGCCCTGTGAAGAATCACGTGCTTATAAAAAGAAAGCTGATGCATGCTCGGCTCAGGGTCCCCCTCCCTTCCAAGACCACCATCAGCACTCTGAAGAGAGGGGCGAGTCTTGTCTTCCTCACCTCTGTGTCCCTGGCTCCCACCACAGTGACTGACACATTTCCATTTTAGAAGCTCAAGGAGGCGGAGCATGGTGCTTCACACCTATAATCCTAGCCTTTTGGGAGGCCGAAGCAGGAGGATCGCTTGAAGCCCAGAGTTCAAGGCCAAATCTGGGCAACAAAGCAAGACCCCATCTCTGCAAAAAAACTCACGTTTTAAAGTTAGCCAGGTGCAGTGGCATGCACCTGTAGTCCTAGCTACTCATGAGGCTGAGGCAGAAGGATCCTTTGAGCCCAGAAGTTTGAGGCTGCAGTGAGCTATGCTTGTGCCACTGCACTCGAGCCTGGGCAACAGAGAAAGACCCTATCTCTAAAGAATGAAAAATAATTTAAAAATTAGGAGCTCAAAGATATTTTGTGGGATGAGCAAACCCTGGCAATAGGCATGACCCAGTGTTCATTAGCTTTCTTGGTTTGGAGGACACTGTCCAGCAATGACATCAGACTCTGGCTACCATGTGGGGACTCATGTACTAAGTGCATATTCCCTCACCAAATCCCCATAGGAGCCCCCGAAATCAAAATCCATGATTGTCTCTAAGTTACAGGTGAGGAAACTGAGGCACTCAGTTGGCAGGTGGTAGAGCTGGGATTTAAGCCTGGAAATGTCTGACACCAGAGCCCAGTCTCTTAATTATAATACTCTATGTAAGGCAGCTTCAGCCTTGAATATTTTTTAAGGGCAAGATGCCTACATATGTGGGGAGGGAATGTGGGTGGAGAGTGGAGAAGCTGCCCAGATTACTACGGGAAGGAGTGTGGACTTTGATGCAAGATAGACTAACATCCAAATCCTGCTCAGCCACTTGTCAGCTCTGGGAACTTGGGCAAGTGACTGGGCCTCGGTTTTGTCATCTGTCAAGTGGGGACAGTGATCATAATTCAGCACAGGGATTCGTAAAGACCAAGTGAGATGACGCTGTAAAGTGCATAACGGGGCCTGGCAAACACCCCACATTCAAGGAGCATGGTTGGATGAATGCACAGCAGGCTTTGGGGAGAATGGCCCAAACTAAGGTGGAGATAGAGGTGAATTTATGCCAGATCACCCGGTAGGGCAAGGATATTCAAACCCCTGATAGTCCCTGACACACACACACACACACACACACACACACACACACACACACACAGAGAGCCAGGAATCAGCTCTGCCTCAATGGCTTCCTGCCTTCTGATTGGATCAAATAAAGGCCGACTGTGTGTGCAGACCAGTGACAGGACTCCTGGTTGTACAGGAAACACACTCAGGCCCCTTCACCATAGGAGTCAGAAGGATGCTGACCCCCTGGAAACAGCAGAGCCTCATTCAGCATCCCCTTACCCCAGCATCTACTGGGCAATCAGTCCACAGGTGACTTGGATCTGGCCTCCACCAAGGCTGCTCTTGTGGGAACTCCTGAGAAGCACCTGGTCAGGGAACCCCCGACCAAGGGATAGGATGAAGGCAGGGGAGGGTGGGGGGGCCTCCTGGCCATCAGCCATAGAAGCTTCTGATTCTCTGAGTTAATTCAAGAGCCTTCACGTCTCCTGCTGAGCAGCTGAAGAGCCCTCTGGAGCCTCTTTTCAACTGAAAACAGTAATTTGCAAGAGCTCACCATGCCTGGAGCAGAAGGCCTTTCTCACAGCCAAGAGCCAGCAGGGCCACTCTGAGGCTCCGCACCTGCTCAGGCTGGTGGCTGGTGGGAGGGTCTGGGATGAGGATGGGAGGGGGACATCTCGACAGCACCCCAGGATGAGCTGGGGCTTTGCTAGTGAAGCAGCAGCAAGGGTGCCATGTCTTGTGTCTTAGCCCTCTAGACTGGAGGGCTTAAACAACACACATTTATTTTTCAAAGTTCTGGAGTCTGGGAAGTCCAAGATCAAGGCGCCAGCAGATCCAGTGTCTGTGGAGGCCCCGATTCCTGGTCTTCTCACTGTGTCTTCCCATGGCAGAGAGGGGGAAGGGGCGGGGAGTGGGGGGAAACAAGCTATCTCCTGTCTCTTCTTGCAAGATCTCTAATCTCATTCATGACCTAATCACTTCCCATTTAAGATTAGGGCATTAGCTTGTGAATCTGGGGGGACACAAACTTTCACACCATAGCACCTGATGTGTTAGCTTCCTAAAGCTGCTGTAACAAATTACTGCAAACTGGGTGGCTTAAAACAACAAAAGTTTACTCTCTCACAGCTCTGTGGGCCAGAAGTCCAAAATCGAGGTGGTGGCAGAGTTGGTCCTCTGGGAAGGCTCTGAGGAAAAATCTGTTCTGTGCCCCTCTTCCAGCTTCTAGCAGTTGCTGGCGATCTTTTGCATTTGCCAACTTGTAGAGGTGTAACCCCAATTTTTTTCTCTGTCTTCACGTGGCATTCTCTCTGTGTGTCTGCATGTCTCTGTTTTCTTTAGTAAGGACACTAGTGACTGAATTTAGGGCCCACCTGAATCCAGTATGTCCTCAACTTAACTAGTTACAGCTGCAAAGACTCTATTTCCAAATAAGATCCAATTCTGAGGTTCCAGATGGACACGGAATTTTGGGGGGCACTCTTTAGCCCAGTATATCTGGCATTGAATGCCACCTGCCACTGTGTGACCACAGACAAGTGCCTTAACTTCTCTGATCCTGTTTCTTCATCTTTAAATAGGGCTAAAAGTAGGACTTTTGTGATAATTGGGTATGATGACAAAGTATAGCAAGTGATCACGAGCACAGACCCTGGCAGGACCTAGTCTGCCACCTACTTGCTGTGTGACCTTGAACAAGTTACCTAACCTCTCTGGTCATCCATTCCCCTGTCTGTAAGGAGTGAATATTGATCACGGTACTCCTTTCTCTCCCATAGTCCCAGCTTCTTAGAGGTCTCTGACAGCCCTCTAGGGTCCAAGGGACCCCTCAGGATTTCCAAAAACCCTAGAAATCATATATTAACTCTCAACAATGGTGCAGCTCTGTGCTTTTGGCTAGATTTGAATTGACTGAATGCAAAGCCTATTCTTTCTTAAGGCAAGTAGAATTCCTCATCAATAATATTTGTCAGTGTTTCTGATAGTATTTCTTTTTTGTTTAGGAATAAAAAGAATTCTTATTTAAAATCATACAGTTTGACAAAATTCTTCCCAAATATTTACCTTTATTTTACAAGCAGGTACACTGAAGCCCAGAGAAGGGAAGTCACTTGCCCAAGGTCACACAGCTGGTTAGAGGTGAAATGGGGATTTGATTTCAGTCTGTTTGACTCCGGGATGGAAACTCTTAATCCAGCTGTTTAATCACCTCAGTAGACTATAAACTGTAGAGCACAGAAATACAATATGAGCCACATATATAACTTAAAATCTTCTAGAAGTTATGTTAAAAAATGAAGAAGGAACAAGTGAAATTAATTTTGATAATATATTTAATCTATTAGATCTAAAATGTCATTTCAACATAAGTGTGAAGCATTATTGAGATATTTCACATTCTTTTTTTCATACAAAGACTTAAAAATCTGATGTGTATTTCACATGTCCAGCACACCTTACTGCAGTCTCGCCATATTTCAAATGTTCAATAGCCATACGTGGCCAGTGGCCACCATAATAAATGGTGTAATTGTAGCAATATGGGTGTCTGAGCCTCTCTCTTGACTTCTTCGTTCCTCCATCCATGACCCTGGAAAACTTACTGTCCTGTGCCCTGTTCCCCTACATGCTCCCAGTCTAATGAGCTTGTTAAAGCCAGTGACAAGATGGTGATCGTGGATTTTTATGCAGATGTTTGCATGTCAGAGAGGTCTTCCTAAGAGCTAGAAAACTAGGTTCTTTTGGCTCCAAGTCAAGAAGCACCACCAGCCTTCCTGGGCGGGAGGTAAGAGATTTGAGTGACTTGTGTCTCTGCCACCCAGACTAGTCCAGGTACCCAGCGATTCATTTCATGGGCACAAAAGAACCAGCCTCTCCTACCTTAGCAATACCTTACCCTGGCTGAGGGCTTTGTATGCTCTGAAGCCAGTCTGGTCTCATGTGGACCTTTGAGCCCAGCCTTAGCCCAGGGACCCCTGTGGATCAGAACTAGCCCTGCAGAGATGCCTAAAACAGCTTCTGCAAGCCCACAGGACTGAAATCTCATGACTAGCTTTGAGCCCCAGCTCAGCCACTCCTAGCTGGGAGAACTTGCCTACCATTCTGTAAAATCAGGGTCAGAAAAATACTTCCTCTTTCACAGAGTTGACAGGAGGATCAAGTGGGGCTACATAAGAATCACTTTTATCTCTTGAACGCTGGCATCATGTCAGACATTGACTAAGTGTGTTACCCAGAACTGCTATTTTTATTTCCATTTTATAGATAGGGTCACTGAGTCTCTGAGAGGTGAAATAACTTGCCCAGCCGCATACAACTAGCCGGTGGTGGATTCAATGACCATAGATCCTTTTTCATAAGGTGATTATGGGACTTAGATAAGTTAGTAAATTAAAGCACTTAGAAGAGTACTGGGCGATAGATTTTTGTTCTCATCATCATCATCATCATCATTGTTGTCAATATCATCATCCCTGCCATCATCAGCAGCATTAATATTTACATCATCACCATCATCATCATTGTTGTCTTGTCATTGTCTTTGTCATCACCATCATTGATGTCATCATTATCACTTATTTTCCCGTTTCTCTGTGTGTGTGTGTAGTGACTACACTGCATAGTGCTGGACCTGCATTAAGTGAGTTTCCTAACTTAGCTAAGCAATAAATTGTGCTAAAACTAACCCATAACAGAAAAAAAATAAAGGTAAGGCTGAAAGGTGGTTCTTGTTTGGAAGACACACATACAAGCTCACACACATACATCCAGGACATTTTCTTTGGCTACAGAACACTGCCAGCATACAGCTTTAAGAATGCCTTTGGGGAGAGAAAAGCAAGCTACCTGCCACAGGTTCTGCGGGGCTTATTCTCCCCTTCCCAGTACAAGAAGGCTTTGGGAGCACAGTCTCTGCCTTCAGCTTCTTGGCCACCCTGTGGGGAAGCTGCCAAGTAAAATAACCTCCCTTGGGTCTTTAATGTGCTGCTCGAATAGTGAGGACCTTGTTTGGGGTGTTATATCAACACTGCCAACAAAATTTACAGAGTCACTGCCAGTCAAGCTCTGGGCAAAACCAACAGTGTGCTCTTTGGCTACCTTTCCTCTCACCCAGGGAGGTAGCCTCTCTCTGACTTCTTCATTCCTCCAACCATGACCCTGGAAACTGTCCTGTGCCCTGTTCCCCTACATGCTGCCAGTCTAATGAGATCATTAAAGTCAGTGACAAGATGGTGATTGTGGACTTTTATGCAGATGTTTGCATGTCAGAGGGGTCTTCCTAAACTCCAGGCTCTGGGTGGGCGGGAAGCAGAGAGAGCCAAGAATGGGACTTCAAGAAGGGGAGTGACTTTGGCACCACTCAAATCAGTCACAGACGAAGCCTCCTACCAGCTCACACTGACCTTTCAAACTTGACGTTTCTGTCAAGGCCCATGGACAGCCTAATTTTGCAATTCTGTGCTCTCAGCAGAGCTAGGGGAATACCCTAGAACAGTGGTCCCCAACCTTTTTGGCACCAGGGACCGGTTTCACTGAAGACAATTTTTCCATGGACCAGGGGGTGGGGGGGATTGGTTTCTGGATGATTCATGTGTATTACATGTATTGTGCACTTTATTTCTATTATTATTACATTGTTACATATAATGAAATAATTATACAATTCACCACAATGTAGAATCAGTGGGATCCCTGAACTTGTTTTCCTGCAACTAGACGGCCCCATCTGGAGGTGATGGAAGACATTAGATTCCCATCTGGAGGTGATGGAAGGCATTAGATTCTCATAAGGCGTGTGCAACCTAGAGGTCTTGCATTCGCAGTTCACAGTGGGGTTTGTGCTCCTATGAGAATCTAATGCCACCACTGATCTGACAGGAGGCAGAGCTCAGGCAGTAATGTGAGCAATGAGGAGTGGCTGTAAATACTGATGATATTTTGTTCACTGGCCCACTGCTTACCTCCTGCTGTGTGGCCCAGTGGTTGAGGACCACTACCCTAGAACATGATGAACTAGGACATTGATTTAACAAATTTTATTGAGGACTTGCTATACACCAGGAACATTGCTAGATACTGAGGTGCAGGAGAGAATGGTATAAAAACACAGCTCCATGAATCTCATACAGTAAGGGAGAAGTTTTATGTCACAGGCTTGTTTTTCCACTTGGATTTCAGAACCATTCTTTCAAGCTAGCATTTGCTGAGCCCAGCCCTATGTTAAATGCTTACATAAATTATCCATTGTAATCACTGCAACAACCCCATGAGATAGGTACTAGTCACAGTATCCCCATTTGACAGACAAGGAAACTGAGACACAATGAGACTGATAAACTTGTCCAAAGTCATTCAGTAAGTAAGTGGAATAACTAGGATTTGAACTCAGAAGTCTAAGGCTGTATAGGCACATGGAGGAGCATCCCACCCAGTCTTGGGATGGGCAGTCAGTCTTGGGATAAGAGATGTGTAGGGGTGACCTAATGGAGGAGATGGGGGCAGAGTAAAGGGACATTTAAGGGAGACATGGAGATGGTGATCCAGGGAAGATATGTGACTTGCTCAAGGTTTCTAGCTGAAAAGTGGCAGAGCATGATCAGGATCCAGGACTTCTGCTCCAATCCCATGTTTCTGCTCCTTCTTCATACCCTTGACCTCACGAGCCCTACTGTCTAACCAGCTAAGCTAAACCAGGGCTCAGCAGGAGCCCAAAATAGCTACGGCTTCCAGGCAAAATTAGTGCCGAGTCAATGTTGCCCCCATTCATCACTCTGACTTCAACCTTGTTATTTTCAGGCAATGTGGCACAAGAATGAGTTGAGACAGAAAGAGAGAGAGAGGCTCCTTCAATCCTGCTCCATTGCTGAGTTTCTAATGGAAAATTTGTTATTTATTTGAAAAAAGCAATGGGACATCAGTTGATTGCAGCCCCAGGATCATTTTACCCCTCACCCTCTTCTAGCATTGATGCTCTCCAGAATCCACATTTCATCCAACAGTGGGGCTTGCATGGGGTTGACCCAACACTCACCTCCAAAAATAGGTCCTGCCTAGCCTAAGCCCATCAACATGGCCCATATCTCTCTCCTACCACAGCGATTGGTTCAGAAACAAGCAGGTATTCTAATCAGAAACAATAAGCCTTTGGCTGGGAGAGAAAGGTTCTAGATTCTTATGGATTTGGGCATCTGGGAGAAGTGAGCTTGGCCTCCTGGCAGTATCTTGCTACCATCAGGGCAGCTGAAGCCTAGGGGAAGGTAGAGATGCAGAGAAACTAAGATCTCATGAGCTTTGTTTGAGCCTGGATCAAGCCATACCTGAAGCAATCCCTTGCGAATTTTGATGTCTGGGAGCCAAAATAAATTATTCTCTTTTTAGAAAGTCCACTTGAGTTGTGTTTTGGTCTTACTCAAGTTGTAGCTGTTGCAGAATAACCACCTGGGTTTGGGCAGTGGAGAACACACAAGCGAACATCTGGAATAGAATGAAAATTGAGAGATTGGAGTGGGGTGGGGGAGGTTCTTTCTGAAACAAAGATTTAGAATGATCATGAGTCCAAGAGGCAGAGTAAGTTCTGCAGAACATTTAAATGCAGCCTATGACTTCCTCAAGTAAGAACAATTACAGCAATGATTTTTGTCTATTAAATACTTGGTTATTGTATTTTGTGCTTCATCTCATCTTATCATTCATATCACTCTATAAGGTTCGAATATTCCCACTTACGAGACGAGCAAACTGAAACCCAGAGAGGAGAAGTGGCATCCCCTAAAACATACAGCAAATAGTCCGGCCACTGTGGCTCATGCCTATAATCCCAGCACTTTGGGAGGCCGAGGTGGGTGGATCATTTGAGGTCAGGAGTTCGAGACAAGCCTAGCCAACATTGTGAAACCCTGCCTCTACTAAAAATACAAAAATTAGCTGGGTGTGGTGGTGGGCACCTGTAGTCCCAGCTACTCCGGAGGCTGAGGCAGGAGAATCACTTGGATCCGGGAGGCGGAGGTTGCAGTGAGCCAAGATCATGGAACTACACTTCAGCCTGGGCAACAGAGCGAGACTCTGTCAAAAAAAAAAAAAAGAAAAAAAGAGAGAAAGAAAGAAAGACAGAAAGAAAGAAAGAAAGAAAGAAAGAAAAGAAAGAAAGAAAGAAGGAAAGAAAGAAAGAAAGAGAAAGAAGGAGGGAAAGAAAGAAAGAAAAAATGCAGCAAATAGTGAAACTGGGGTGGCACACAGGTAGGTCTGACAGGGAATCTGCTGCCCCAACACATCATCACCTCCGTAAGAACAGATGCATGGGAGAGATCCTGCTTACTCTCCGGTGGATCAGATTTAGTATCTGTGCCTGCGAGCCAATGACAAAGTGTGTGAATTTCAGCAGGACCACTTTCTCCATTTAACCTTGGCAGAATCCCAAGGGCAATAAACATTCCCCCAAAATGGCAGAGAACTTTGCTGAAGCCAACAGAGGATTTTGCTTAGGAGCAGACACCCTAAGAATCTCAATGTAGAAATCTCTGGGATGTCCATTCCCACTGCTGGCATCAATCTTTAGACATAAGATTCATTAGATGACCCTATCACAAAAATACCAAGAGCAGAGTCATTTACTGAGTTCTTCATTCACACTCACAGGCCTCTGAGGCAGGTGCTATGATCATCCCACTGCACAAATGAGGGAGTTAAGGCTCAAAGAGATGAAGTCACTGATCCAATATTACAGAGCTAGCAGAGCATTTGGACAAAGATCTGACTCCCAACTAGGAGGCTTTTCAATACATCAGTGTTTCTCAAAGTGTAGGAGCCATCTCAGCATAAGGGAAGATTCCAGTGTTAAATACCATTCTATCATAAAGTGAGAAAAGTATTCACTTTTAATTTTCCTTCAATATCTCTGATGACATCAATAAAAAATCTCAGTTTGGTGCTAATAGAGCTTCAACACCTCTCAAATGCTTGCTAATCTGCCTTTATAACAGAGAGAGGCCTCAGGCACAGAATCCCAGGCAGGTAATGGTGCCGGGCTAGAACTGATCTACCTTGTCTTTGTTTGGAGTGTTTGTAGTGATTAACCTCTATTTAGGGAAAGTCATATTGATTTCATATTTGCAGGTAAGTTAACTTCCTAAATAAACAACTTTCAGTAAAAAAGTAAATCAATTCCAAGAAAAACAGCAAATGTGGGAAAAATTGCAAGGGTGGTGTGCTGATTATTTAAGTTTGGGATATGTCTCCACCTCACACTCAACTAAACTCCAAACCTCTGCCTCATCAACTCAGCAAATGGGAGGGTCCCATATAGAAAGAACATGTAACCTTGGTACCAGCCCAAACTGGGCCTGCTCTGTTGAAGACAAAATGCTGAGTAGACTGGGTTCAGTGGCTCATGCCTATAATCCTAGCTCTTTGGGAAGCCAAGATGAGAGGGTCACTTGAGCTAGAAGTTCAAGACCAGCCTGGGAAACATAGCAAGACCCTGTCTGTACCAAAAAAAACACCAACAACAAAAAATTAGAGTCCCCTTTGGGGTAACAGAGCCTGGGTATGCACAATAGAAAAATCTTTGACCTTTAACAACACCTGGAACCATGAATCCTCCCCTTGGAACCAAGAAGACTGGGACATGACCAGGACCTGAACTCTGGAGCTCTTTCAGAAGTGAGGGGTCTATTGGCCCGGAAGATCCAGGGTTAAAATCTGCCTCAACATACTTTACTGTAAATGGTCAAATTTGAAGCCCTTTAATCAGACCCTGCCAACCCACCACTCCTAAATCTTTTCCCTTGCCCTCTGATCCCTTAAAATTTGCTCCAGATCCCAAATTAGGGAGACAGATTTAAGCCTGACTTCTGTCTCCTTGCCAGCCAGGTTTACAATAAAGTCTTTCTTTTCTCAAAAACCAGTGCCATAGTCATTGGCTTTTATGTGCATCGGGCAGCAAGTCCATTTGCTGGTTAGCAAATGAGCCCACATGAAAAGGAGACTGGGTACCCCCTTTGTCCCCACCTTCTCCTACATCACATCTCTGAAACCCATCAGGTCAGATGAGGCTTTCCTGGACTGGGATGTGAGGAGTTATTGGGCCTCCTTGTCTCCTAAGCATTGTGACCCACACAATGTGGAGATGTGGGTAGATCTGTTGGAGAGAAAGCTGTTGCGGGCAAGGAAGGCATTCCTCAAGTTAGATTCAGGCTGGAGACTGGTGTTGTCCACTGAAGCGAAACATTCACATACCTAGGACCCTGCAATTCCACTCCTGGGTATACACCTACAAGAAATGAGTGCTTAAATCTCCCACAAGATTTGTACAAGAATGTCCCTAGCACCTCTGTTCATTAGGGTCCCAAACTGCAGAAAATCAGCCATGTGTCCTTCAAAAGGAGAAAGGATTAAAAATTGAATGAACAAGAAAGAAACCGCTGATATATGTGACATCGTGAATAAATCTCACGGATTTATAAAAATAACATCAAGCAAAGGAAGCCAGGCACAAAAGAAAAGACAGTACAAGATCCCATTCATATGAAGTTCAAGGACAGGCAAATTAATCTCTGGTGACAGGGGTATCAATTAGGAAGAAATGCAAAGAAACCTCTCTGGAGTGATAAGAATGGTCTGTATCTTGACCTTGGCAATGGTTCCATGGCTCTATAAGTTTGTAAAAATTTATTGATTTTGTACTTTACAGTATGTAAGGTATACCATTGTAGGACGTTTTCAAACATCCCCCTCTCTGAAAAAAAAAAAAAAAAAAAAAAAGGATTTAAGATTAAACAACAGTATAAATAAGTGAAGGGCTACAGGTCTAGTGGTAATGCCAACCACTCTGTCATGGGTCCTGGGCTGTAGAGAAGACAGTGACCCACTGGGATGTCAAAGGCAAGCCATCACTGATGCCACTATGTTTCACTCATTTATTCACTACCTTTCCAGGCATTCACTTATTCTTTTAGTATCTTTCCTTAATTTTTTTTATCCATGCTTAGTATATTAGTTTCCTGTGGCTGCAGTAACATATGACCACAAACTTACTAGCTTAAAAAAACATAAGTTCATTCTATTCAGTTCTGAAAATCAGAAGTGTAAAATCAAGATGTCTGCAGGGCTGGTTCCTGCTGGAGGCTTCAGGGAGAATCTGCTTCCTTGCTTTTTCAGCTTCTAGAAGCTGCCTGCATGCCTTGGCTCCTGGCCCCTCCCCTTCCTGCCTGCATTCCATCACTCCAACGTCTTCTATCATCGCATCTCCTGCTACTGACTCGGATCTTCCCTGCCTCCCTCTTATGAAGATCCTTGCGATGACAGTGGGACCACTTGGAGAATCCAGGATAATATCCCATCTCAAGATTCTTAACTCATTTACGTCTGCCAAGTACCTCTTACCATGCTTAAGGTACCATATTTGCAGGTTCCAGGGATTTGAACGTGGACAGGTTTGGTGGGGCAGAGGATGATTATTCAACCCACCACACTTAGAAAGAAGAATGGTATAGACTTTTTCTTTCTTTTTTAATTTTAATTTTTATTTTTTTTGAGACAAAGTCTTGCTCTGTCACCCAGGCTGGAGTGCAGTGGTGCAATCTCTGCTCACTGCAAGCTCCGCCTCCCAGGTTCATGCCATTCTCCAGCCTCAGCCTCCCAAGAAGCTGGGACTACAGGTGCCCGCCACCACGCCCAGCTAATTTTTTGTATTTTTAGTAGAGACGGGATTTCACCATGCTAGCCAGGAGGATGGTATAGACTTTTTACGAGCTCAGACTTGGAATCAGATCAGACCCATCTGGATTCAAATACTACTTATTAGTGGTATCACTTAGCTGATGACCTACCACTTATTAGCTTCATGTCCATAGGAATACGATTCAGCCTCTCTTGAAGCCCCAGTTTTCCTGCCTATACAATGAGGCATCACTCCACTTCCTCCAGGTTTTTGTGAGGAGTAAGTGAAGTGATGTTTAAGGCAGTTAACACAGAGGCTGGCACAAGATGCAGGCTCAACACACAGCCTGTGCATGTAGTGATATCTTATGAATGAATGATATTGATGGAAACAGCCATTTACCAAGTCCAGGGTACTTTGCTAACCAGGTCTGTCAGACTCCAGAATCCATCAGAAACTGTTCTGGAAGGGCCTCCAGGTCTGAGCAGAGGTCATTTGGAGAGAGAAAAGAGAAGGCCTTACTCCCAGCCCCTCCAGAAAATGGAGGAAATGCATTCTCCAGGATGCTCAGAAGAGGGTCTGAGCCCTGTTCCTCTCCCCAGGAGGGAATAAACATCCAAGCTTTTCTGGTGGCTGCCTGTCATTTATCAGAGATGGAATTTCCTTGGCACTTTGGGAAAAATAGATGCCAAGATGCAGAAAGAAATAGATTTTTTTCTTTCCCCCAGAAGTAGAACTTGGCTCATACATGTGTGGGGCACATTGATACAAATGGAATGAGAAAGCTCTGGGAGCCCTGGGGACTGAGGGTGTTGCTTGCATCTGAGTGTGAAATGGGTTGGGGGGCTGGGGATCCCCCAGCCCATTTTCCAAGGCATATGTGTTTGATTATTCCACCCGTGAGTCTGAAGGGGGCTTGGTGACTCCTCCCTATGAACAGGCAGGATTCCAAGAGCTTCCGGAGAGATGTGAGCCTGCAAGGAAGATGCTGAAGAAGCCCAAAGGAGGAAATGAGAACAACGTGGCCAACGTTGTCTTCAGGCTTGGAAGAGAATCTGAGGTCACAGTCCCTCTGCCGTCCTTCCTTTCCACCCTCACCAGTATTCTGTGGCCAAGGGCAGGCCTTAGCATGGACTGGCTACCATTTTACCCCATCTCTGCCACTTGGCTTCTGTGCAATGTTGGGCAAGCGACTTCTTCCCTCTGTGAGCCTCAGTGTCCCCATCTGTAAAGTGGGGAGGATGGTGATGCATGGGCCATGGTGAGGGCTTGAGATGACAGTGCACAGTGAAGCCACGGTAAAATCTGCATGTGAGGGGTCTCATTCGTTATTCTGATCAGGTGGAGCTTTTGTTTTACAGATAAGGGCACTGAGGGCCCAGAGTGGGAAAGCAACTCACCCACATCACATAGCCCAGCTGTGTTCTGGGTTCTGACCCATTCTGGACCCACCACAAGCTTCCCAGGTATCACAGGACTGAACATGCTGGTCATAGGAATAACAAAACAAGAACTATGCAGTGAGCACTCGCTTTGTGCCGGGCTCTGTGCTAAGCCGGGCTGCCAACAGAGTACCACAAACCAAGTGGCTTAAACAGCAGAAATTTATTCTCTCCTGGTTCTGGAGCCTGGCAGTCAGAGGTCAAGGTGTCAGCAGGATTGGTTCCCTCTGGGGGCTGTGAGAGAATCTGTTCCAGGCCTCTCTTGAAGCTTCTGGTGGTTTGCCAGCAATCTTTGGCATTTCTTGGCTCATAGAAATACGACCCTGATCTCTGCCTTCCTGTTCCCATGTCCTTTCTCCTGTGTTCAAGTCTGTGTCCAAATTTTCCCTTTTTCTAAGAACACCAGTCACATTGGATTAGGGGCCCACTCTACTCCACTATGACTTCATCCTAATTTAACTAATTCCATCTGCAATTACCCTATATCCAAATCAAGTCACATTCTGAAGGCCTGGAGGTTAGAACTTAAACATTTGAATTTGGAGGGAGGAACACAATTCAACCCTTTACAGCCCCTATATGCATTATGATATTTTCTTATAACAGCTCTGCAAGGTAAATTGGAATCAATATTTCTATTTTACAGATGAAGAAAGTGAGGTTCAGAGAGCTGAAAATCTCCCGTAAAGTCACATACACCATGTGTGTGGTGGCAGCACCAAGATTTAAACATCAGGTTGCACCATTCCAAATTTCATTCTCTCTACCACACACCTGCCTGCTTCCATACACTTGCTTTCATCTATCATCCCAATAATCCAGTTAGGTGGCTTCTGTTATTATTACCACTTTATAAGTGAGGAAACTGAAGCTCAGGAAGGTGGTGGGACAAGGCCAGGGGTTGCAAAGCTCGTCAATGTCAGAGCTGGGATTTGAATGCAGGCACCTGCCTCCTGAGTTTGTGCTCTTGACAATTTCACCCCTCTCCTATTGAGAAATCCTGAGTGTGCTGCACAACACAGTATAGCATAATATAATACAGTATATTGTGCTGTATTATCTATCACATCATATATCATATCTGACATGGTTTGGATTTGTGTCCCCATCCAAATATCATGGTCAATTGTAATCCCCAGTGTTGCAGGTGGGGCCTGGTGAGAGGTGATTGGATCATGGGGGCAGATTTCTCTCTTGGTGCTGTTCTTGTGATAGTGAGTGAGTTCTCATAAGATCTGGTTGCTGTTTAAGTGTGTGGCACCTCCCCTGCCAGCCTCTCTTTCTCCTGCTTTGGCCATGTAAGATGATCCTACTTCCCCTTTGCCTTCTGCTATGACTGTAAGTTTCCTGAGGCCTCCCCAGAAGCCAAGAAAATGCCAGTGTCATGATTCCTCTACAGCCTGCTTAACTATGAGCCAATTTTCCTTATAAATTACCCAGTCTCAGGTATTTCTTTATAGCAATGCAAGAACAGACCAATACAATATACTATCTTGTCATATCCTATCCTATAGCTACAGAGTAACTAAGGTGGGATTTAAAGTAAGCTCTGTCCACCCTCAGACTGCAGGCTCTGAAGTGAGTCCTTAGAATCAGCCCATCCCACCAACCATCTTCCTGCAGAACTCACAGCAACAGTTCATTTTCACGTTGGGTCTTGAAAGAAGCTCACCTTCAGCAGCCATCCTTGGCAGCCTCTAAAGGCCAAGCAGCCACACCCCTCATCCAGCCGAGATCCTAAATTAACTATGAAGCTGTAACGAATGTAACATGGCTCTCGTGCTATCATACCGTGTCTAATATCTCCACGAAGGCCCCTCGCAGAGCCCTGGTTGGGCAAATTCCCTTTGTCTCAGCACAGGGGGAAACCTCAGGAGCCCTCACAGCCAGAAATACCCTCAACAGTACTGAATCCTTGGATTCTGTTGTCTGCCAGGGGCAGATTGTATAGGAGAAAAGCCAACGCTGAGAAAAACAAATGATGGCAAGGACCGTCCTCCCACGCCTGCATTCCCCAGCAAGAGATGCTGCAGGGGCTGCTGGGGGCTTTCTGGGGCAAGGAGACAGATTCCTCCCCTGGGCAGAACCAACTCACAGTCCAAGAGCAAGAATAAGAATCCCTCACGCTCAGATGATCCCAAGCAGTTGGAGTGGGGATTTCAGAACATCACTAGCTCATTTGTTTCAGCAAGATGGCCATTCATCATTCTATGAGAGTTCATTGAGCATCTATGATGTGCCAGACTCTGTGTGCTGGGGATGCAGAGATGAGCAAGACAAGAGTCTTACCCTCCACGGGGATCACAAATGAGTGGCCAGAGGCATAACACTGTAGTACTGTGGAGCCCCAGCTTAGCCACTTTCGTCTCTGCCTTGGTTCTCTCATCTGTAGAATGGGTATACTGTGAGTAGTTTCTGTCTCACAGAGCTGTTGTGAGGACTAAATGTGTCACTATAACAAAAGAGGCTTAGGACTGAGTATGGTGTACAGAAAGCACAACAGGCACATTGGCTATCAGCACCAGCATCATCACCAGAGCTGTGATGGGGAAGCAGCAAGGACTAAGGAGAGTCAGCTGGAGAAGGAGGTCTCAAGAGTGACACCTGAGAAGATGATGTCCTATTAAGAAAAGGAAACCAGATGGAGGAACAACCAGGGCAACCTCCAGAGGTGGGACAGGGCTAGATCCCTTTCAGAGACACAGAAGAGGCTAAGATGGCTGGAGCACAGGGAGCTTTGATTTTATTCTAGGGGCCACAGAAGGTCTTTAACCATCAGATGTGTGTTTCCAGGAAGAACTCTGGCTGTAGTGTGCAAGATGTTACAGAATCCAGGCAAAAGACAGATGGCTTGGATCAGAATACCCAGAGGAGAAGGTACAAGCATCAAAGACACAAGGAGGGTAATGTTGGTTCCATGAGGGTGGGGTGGGATCTGCTTTGTTCACCATTGTATTGTCAGTGCCTGGCACATAGGAGGTGCTCAGGTAATACTTGTGGCTTGAGTAGACACGGAGAGTGAGGGAGAGGGAGGACTTGAGTATGATGACTTGGGCAGTCGGTAGGATGTTGGTACTGTCAGGGAGGGATGTAGGGCTGGGACAGGAGACCTGGAAGTCCCCTGGGATATAACATCCCTGTTTATTCTGCTGTGAGAGAAGCATCATTGCCACCTCTATCTTCCAGAGGTGAAAATGGAGACTCAGAGAGACAAAGCAACTTACCTGAGATCACACAGCACCTAAGGGGCAAGTTTTGGGCCTTGCATCTAGGGCTGTTTTGGCCACTCCCCACCCGGCCCAGTAGCCCTGTGTGTAAAGACCCCCACCCCGCCCGCCCCAGGGACTTGTCATAGGAGAAAGGATGGGAACATGCGCAGCCTAACGCCAGGTTGTATTTCACTGCTTAGAGCCTCAGGCTCTTCTCCAAAATGAAACCTTGTAGCCAAGTTAAAGGGTGGCCTTCATTGCTGGCTGTGTCTCAGTAGTGTGCTCTGAACTTGAACCTCTCCTACTCTCTCCGTTTGTGGCTGCTATCACCCACGCCTCTCCAGGGGCAATTTAATCTCTGGGTGTCCAGTTCTCTGACATGCTCCAGAAACGAGGTCAGTAGGGTGAATTGCAGCATTAGCATAAATTATTGACCCAGAGGTGTATGGCCACTGAAGGACTTTATGTGTAGCCCACAACCGGGCTCACAGCCTCAGACATCCCGTAAGTACAGGCTGTGCAGAGCATGCAGAAGGAATCTGCCGAGTGTAGGATGTTGGCTGACATGGTACCAGCCTCAGACAGCCTGTAGTGGCTGGGTGTTTGTGTGGCCTCAGAGGAGCCTCCTACAAGTTACTAGATAATTGCTAGAGGAATTCATTTGTATTTGATTTCCCTAAATTTTTCTCTCTTTCTCATTTCAAGCAGGTGGCCAATTTTGTTGTGACCCTCAGCCCCAAGAATATATTTGCAGGGCAGGAGATAGTGTTTGCAGGAGGCCAGGCTAGATTCACAAACCCAAATATCTACCAGGGCCAAGGAAGGGAGAGGAGGCTGCTTGCAAGATGACGAGGAAGAACAACTGCAGGAGCTCACCCCACTCTGGGTAGGGAACTTGGGGGAGACAGCAGCTGCACTCAGCTCCAGCCTGTGGTTGCTTGGAATATCCTACATTTTTAAGAGACTTTGGACATCTGGGTTTTCATATAAAATATTCCACTTTTTAAATCTTGGAAGCTAAAGTAATTAATTTAAAAAGATACAAAAAAGGGAAAACTGTGGAAAGGGTAAAAAGATCAGTCATTGCTAGCAGCTCCAGGGGTAGGAGGGAAATAGGTGGGGCCCAGAGGAGTTAGGGGCCATGAAACTCTTCTGTAGGACACTGTAATGGTGGACACATGTCATTATACACTTGTCAAAACCCAAAGACTGTGCAACACAGAGTGAACTCCAATGTATGCCATGAACTTCAGGTAATAATAATGTATCAATATTGGTTCATCGGTTGTGCCAAATGACCCTCACTAAGACCAGATGGTCATATAATGGTGGAGTGAAGGACAGAGCGGAAAGAGTATATGGAGGAACTCTCTGTACTTTGCTACTCAATTTTTCTGTAAACTGAACACTGCCCTCCAAAATAAAGTCTATTAAGACAAACTAAAAGCAAACAAACAAACAACGAAGAAACCACAGAGAAATATCTGGGGCCCTCATTCAAGTTTACAACTGCCTGTTTGCAAATTCTGTTGAAAGCTCATTGGTGAGCTTATGGGGTGGGGTCCTGGGGAGGAAAGTGGAAGTGAGAAGTCGATTTCTCTGGGACAGGGAACAAGCCAGAGGTTCCAAACAAGTCCTGGCAGTGCCTGAGGAAAGCGTCTAGACACGTAGTGCCAGAAATACCAATGTGGGCAGAGGTTCGCCTGTTGCTCCAAGCTTGGCTCAGAATAGCAGAGTTTCTAGACTTAGAGGAAACATGCTGGATGGCTAGTTGGGGTTTGGTGGTGACCAGGGAGAAATTCATCCATCTGGGAGCGAGGAGCCTCAGTAATGACTGAAATCAGAGTTTTTCTACAACTCAGTAGAGACTCCAAGTCGAATTTGACTTCATTTAAAAAGATTTAAGAAAGTTGATATTTCTGGTACACCTGTATTTGTGGGCTTAAATAGATTTCTTGATACCCACAACCCACACCTGTCCACCTTAGCAGAAATCAGCAATCTGCCAGATCAGATTTTTTAATGTGCTGGCTCCTTAAATATATAGACAACGTAGGATTTCAACCCATTCTTAGAAAGGCTCTGCTCAACAACCCAAGGTCATCCCTCTACTACTGGGTCCTGCTTATGGGGAAATGAAGACCTATGAAGACCCTACTATGCACCAGCCAGTACATGGATATTCTTTTAGAAAGTTATAACTGCTACTATTGATTGAGTGCTTACTATGTGCTGAGCTAACCTGACTTGTTAACCTGTGAGTTAACCCATTGTACAGAGGAGGAAACAGCTCAGAGGTACTAAATGGTGGGCTGAGGTTGCCTGATGCTAAGTGGTGGGGCCAGGACACGGACCTGAGCCTGCCTGGTTTCAGAGCACGTGTTCCTCCCCTTTCTCTTCGTGAAGAACCAAATCTACTGCCTTCATCTTCTCACCATCTGACAGTCTATTCACACAACGCAAAGCCAAATAAAAATTATATTTTTTGCTCACGTGAGATTTTTAGAGTTTTGGCAAGCATTTAGGAAGCATCTGAAAAACACTTTCAAAATATTACATTTGAACAATATTTGAACTTCAGCAGATGGCTCGTTGGTATGTGTGTGGGGGGCACAGCCTGGGTGGTGTCGATGTATATTTGAAAGAACTCAACATGCCACTTCCTATGTGGGGTCTCCAACAGTTCCCTGAATCTTTTGAATAGCCTGGGAGAGGCTGGGAGTCTTTTCAGATCATCTTCATCTTCCCAGACAATATGGGAGGCAGAATGATAACAATAGTATTTGTCATTCTTAATATTTATGGAGCTATGTGCCAGGCACTGGGCTGTGCTCTTTGCATAGATTATCTCATTTAAATCTCACCACAAACTTACAGAGGAGGTACTATTCTTATCTCCATCATCTAGATAAGAACAATGAGGCTCAGAGAAGTGATGTAAACTGCCCAAGGTCACAAAACTCACAAGTGGTAGAGCTGGGATTTGAACCTAGGTCTCTGACTCACAGAGATCACATACCCACCACTAAGTCTCCTGGGGTCTTCCAGTCATAAGCAAGGCCTTTCAGTCAGTGTTGACCTCTTGGGACTATCACAAGAATCATACTGCCATTTCTTCTGTCAGTCAATCAGTCATTCAACAACCAGAAAATATAACGTGTCCTTATTCTAGGCTTAATAAGACACACATGGCTGAATAAAATTTTGTCTCCCTGCTGAGAGCCCTGATTGGTGTATGCATATGGTACTAGCTGTGCATCAGGAAGAACAGTAATTCTGGTCCTAGGGTACGGGGGCCACAATCATGCCCCTAACACTACCCCCATATACCAACTCTCTTCCATCCATATCAAAACTTACCTGTCCTGTGCCCCATTCTCCCACTTCCAACATACTAATATGCTAATAGCAAAACCTTATCATATCTAAGCTGGAGTTAACCTTAGGAATTGTCCCCATTATATAGATCAGGAAACTGAGGCCCCACAAAAGAATGTGACTTGGCTGAGGTCACAGCAGATCCAGAACCAAAACCCAGGTCTCTTCACTCCTCTTTCAGAATCCTTTCCACAACATTACCCCGTAGCTGCAGGCTGGGATCTGGGGCATATTCGCCATGTCTCACGTGGTACTTCTAGGTAGTACACAGATAAACTCTTCTTAAAATGTCAATAGTTATGTAATTATTTTAATGGGAATAGTTACAAAAATCATAAGTGCCCATCACACCTTGATTGCATATGTATTATTGCTTAGAATGAAGCAATAATAAATAATGAGTTCATTTGGATTCATGAAAAATATGCAGCTCTGGGAAAATTATTGAAGATAGGTTAATAAATGCTGGAGTTTGTGGACATTATTAATCCGAAAAAGAAATGTTAATGGAGGTGATTCTGGACTCTTGTGCACGACAGTGGGAAGATGCCTTTCCTCTGAGAAGCCTCCTGGAACCCTTTTGTGGTGAGTAGAATGCTACCCCAAAGATATCCGTGTCCTAATCCCCATAACCTGTGAATATGTGACCTGTCATGCAAGCAAAAGGGACTTTGCAGATGTGATTAAGCTAGGAATCTTAAGAAGGGGAGATTATCCTGGATTATCTCATGGATACAATATCATCACAAGCATCCTTATGAGGGCAGCAGGAGGGTCAGAGTCGGAGAAGGAGAGAAGACAACAGAAACAGAGCCCAGAGGCATACAATTGCTGGTTTTGAGGATGAAAAGGGGTCATGACCCAAGGGATGTGGGTAACATCTAGAAGCTGGGAAAGGCAAGGAGCCAATTTTCCTCTGGAGCCTCCAGAAGGAACTCAGTCATGCCAACCTGGTGAGACCCATGTTGTACTTCTGACCTTCAGAACTGTAGTAGAATAAATGCGTGCTGTTTTAAGCTATCAGGTTTGTGGTGATTTGTTACAGCAGCTATTGGAAACTAATACACCCTTCGCAACTCCAGGACACCATCTACCCACTCTGAGGACACTCAGGGGGCCCTGACCTTCCCTCCTGGTGCCTCTGCTTTCTCTAAATCAGTAACAACAGAAATACCTTCAACTTAATGCTTTACAGCCATGTGTTGAGCATCACACTTCATCTAGACTAAGAAAAACCTTCCAGCAGCATCAAGGCAAGCAGTACCACCACCACTCCCATTTCTCAGATCTGTCTGCTGTCTTCCATTTGCCCCTCGAGACACGCTCTTCCCCTTCAACTGCCCTGCTGTCCACCTGGAGGTGGCCTGGGGGAACCACATCAATGAGCTTTCTGCTTCCCTAACTTCCACTAGAGTTTGGCCAACGGGAGGCCCTGGCAGGATATTGGAAGCTGGGTCAAGGATGGTCAGGGCGTACATTTCTTTCCCCATCACCTCTCCCTCTGTGCAGCCACCAGGGTTGGCTGAGCCCCTCTACCAAAGAACATGGCACTGCAGGTGACCCTCTCCATAGAGCTAATTTTTCTAGGTTTCTGCACTTTGCCTTTTCAGGCTTGGGGGTGAATATAGCTCCCCACTACTGCTAACTCTGGGGTGCTGCACCATCCCTTGTGATTTTCCCACATCCTGCCCCTATGGTTATAAGCCCTAACTCTTACCAGCATCCCCACTGATACTGCAGAAAATGCAGACGCAGCACAGACAAGTGCCATCACTCTTCCAAGGTTAGGAACCAATGAGGGGTAGAGACAGTGGTGGAGGCTGAGTCTAAAACCCTCCGCCAGAGGTTGCCAGGATGGCTCATGGAGTATGGGGCTACAGAGATCCACAGAGCACAGGTTTTATTTAATTATTTTCTTGACTTGAATTCATCACTAACATTGAGCCAGTGGGAGCTTTTAAATACAAACCCAGTCTCTAGGTCTCTTGAAAGATAAAATGAGCTGCACCATTCTAAGTGCTTTCTGTGTTAACTTCTTTAATCCTCACAATTCTACAATGTAAGTACTCGTGCTAAGTCAGTTTTTGTTTGTTTGTTTGTTTGTTTGTTTGAGACAGAGTCTCACTCTGTCACCCAGGCTGGAGTGCAGTGGTGTGATCTCGGCTCACTGCAACCTCTGCCTCCAGGTTCAAGCGATTCTCATGCCTCAGCCTCTCAAGTAGCTGGGGTTATAGGTGTGCACCACCACACCTGGCTAATTTTTGTATTTTTTAGTAGAGACAGGGTTTCACCA
Organism: Homo sapiens; assembly: GCF_000001405.40. Lineage (NCBI taxonomy): Eukaryota > Metazoa > Chordata > Mammalia > Primates > Hominidae > Homo > Homo sapiens. The sequence goes on along the minus strand of NC_000012.12, from coordinate 108,152,919 downwards.
TGTTGGCCAGGCTGGCCTTGAACTCCCGACCTCAGGTGATCTGCCCACCTTGGCTTCTCTCCCAAAGTGCTGGGATTACAGGCATGAGCCATCATGCCCAGCCAAACTCAGTTTTAAATGGGGAAACAAAGGCACAAAGGTTAAACCACTTGCCTGAGTTTAGGGATCTGAACCTAGCATATAGATTGGTTCTGGTAAGCTGAGCCTCCAGATGTGGCATGGGCTCCTTGTTCTGCCATGGTCTGCAACAGGCCCTTCTTATACCACCCACCTGGCCTCCAAAGGCCCCTCGGGCTTCTGGGATGGCCCCGGTTAATTCCTGGGACTCATCTTTATCCCAGAGCAGGCTCTGCCACCAAGAGGGGAAGTTCGTCATCATCCCTAATGTGGCTCACCCTGAAAATGCACTATTCAGGGCTGAATTACACAGCATCAGCACCTGCCCGACCCTGTATTTCTCTGGCCACATCGTGGGTTTCTGATTGTGTCCAGCGCCTGGCTGGAGCCTGTGGGAGCCCAGCGCACATGTCCTGTGCCCAGGAGCACACAGAGCCCTTGTTCTCCTGGCCTCCCACCCTGCCCTGCTCAGGTTGAACCCTTGCCTTGGCCTGAATGGGGCTCTCACTTTATCCTTCCTTGGTCACAGCCCACCAATGGGGAAACCAAGCCAAACAGAGGCACTTTCTAAAAATCTCTGAAACTGGAGCTGGCTAGGCCTCCTTCTTCAAGTGCAGCACACTCAGAATGGGCAGTTTTGCTGGGTTTTGCTTCTCTTCTTTTTCCTCTTGGCCCTTCCTCGGGTTTCCTCTGAGCGTTTCCCGGGGGGATCAGAGTGCAGCTAAATGCCCTCATTGTGAGAGCAACTGCAGCGTCCCTGATGCCTGGAGCTGGATCCAGGAGAGCAGCGACGCCGCCCTTGGAAGGAGATCGATGGCCCTCCTATCGCAGAGCCATTCTCCCGTCTGGGCCAGTGTGTGCAGGAGGAGGGCTGGGAGGGAGCTGAGAGAATGTTGGAAAGAACTGGCTTGACCTCAGGGGAGGCAAACACAATTCTAGAAAAAGATGAGAAGTGTTATCTGTCCAAAGAGAGCAATTAATTGGTCATTAGCCCATGGAGTAGGTTTTCATCTCAAAAAACCCTCAGAGGTGAGAGAGAGGGAACTAGATCAGGTCCCAGAGAGTGGCCTCAAGGGAGTCCCCAGTGAGTGTGTGGTTAATCAATATTCATGGCATTCCGGGAGATTCCCAGGAGGGCTGCATGGATCAGGAGGCATGGCAGAGTTAGGCCTAGATTCTAATCTTGACTTTATTCTAAATGGCTGTGTACCTTGGGCGAGTCCCTTCCCCTCTGAACATCAATTTCCCCAAATACATAATAAGAGTTGAATCCACTTCTGATCTTGATTCAGTGAATCCTGTACTCCATCTCTTCCCTCTTCCTAGCCAATAGAACCCCCACCCCTGGGGAGGAGGTCATTTGCCAGTTCCCAGGGAATGTATTATGATTGGCCCAAACCAGTGGTTCTTAACTGGGGCCAATTTTTCCCCCTCTCCACCTGCATCAAGGGGACATTTGTCAATGTCTGGAGACATTTTTATTGTCATGATTGAGGAGGAGGTGCTATAGGCATCTAGTGGCAGAGGCCAGGGATGCTGCTCAACACACTGCAATGCACAGGGCAGCCCCCAACACCCGCAGAAAGAAATTATCTCACCACAAATGTCAACAGGGTTGAGGATGAGAAAGCCTGTAGTAGATGGTAGGTCAGCAGTTTGACCAGTAGATGAATCTGCGGGACCTCATGGGAGTGAGCTCCCTGGGAGATGGCACAGGGAAGGAGTGAGGGACAGTGAGGGAAGCTCGAGTGCTGACCACACTGGACTCAGCCAAGCAGAAGCTGAGCACCGGGGCACCAAGGGGCCAGGGCGTGGGCTCACGCTCAGATGGCAGGAGCCCAGATCCAAGGAGAAACTCAGGTCAGAGGAAGGGTTGTGAGGTGGGGACCGAAGCCAGGCTGCACCAGGAGGCTGGCTCCTGAAGGCTCCAACAAGGGGCCTTTTTTCCAGAGCTTCTCGCAGAGGTCTGCTCAAGTGCCTGCTGGGCCCAGCAACATTCAGCCCCAGCAGCAACCCCACTGGGCTTGGCACCTGGACTTGTGTGCGGGGGCAGTCGTATCCGGGCAGGGTGGGCAGAGAGAGTGCCAAAGGGAAGGTCAAAGTGGATCCATTCCCAAGCATACACTGAGCACCGACTGCATATCGGGGTCCTGCCTGCCTCTCTCCTGTGTCACTGCATCCTCTTTACTTCTGCTTCTGTGCTCCGGCCAGGCATGCTGTGTTCCTACCATACTCCAACTCCACCCTCTGTAGGGGACTTTCTGCAAATCCATCCCTCACACTGGAATATCCCCACCACACACACTCCTTTGCATGCTTGAGTCCCGCTCATCCTTCCCATCCTAGACTCCACACCTCTTCCTGGGAGAGACCCTTTCAGTCCCCCGAAATAAACCAAGTCTCCCTCCTCCATGTTCTCGTAACACTCTAGCCTCTCCCTTTGGAAAGCTCACAATACTTCCTTTAAAGAACTTATTTACAATTAGAGGGGGTGAATTCTATACTCCATTCTCTGCCCAGAGGGGAAAGATAGAAGAATGGTTAAGAGCACAGCCTTTGGCATCAGTCAAAGGCAGGTTCAAACCCTGGTTCTGCCACCAACTGCATGACGTAGCGCAAACCCCCGCACCTCTCAGAGCCTCAGTTTTCCCATCTATAAAATGAGGGTAATAATAACACCACCCTCATAGGGCTGTTGTTAGGATTAAATGAGGTCCTCCTAGCAAATGCCCAGCACATAATAATCCATCATCATGATTATAATTATTATTATTACCATCACTAGCATGGTGGTTAAGAGCATGAACTCTTGGGCCAAGCATCCAAAGTCAAATTGCCCGACCTCACTGGACCTCCATTTCCTTGTCTGTGAAATGGGAACAATAATAGTTCTTACCTCTTAGGGTTGTGGAGAACATCACATGAGCCAGTGTACGTGATGTCCTGAGAAGAGTGCCTGGGGCATGGGAGGCGGAACCTAAGGGTTTGTTAAAATCAAGTTGTAAGAGCCAGGGGATAGGAACTGGGTCTGTCTTGTTCACTGTTGTATCTACAACAGGTGCTCAATAAATACTTGTTTACCAAGTTTCCGCATAAGTAGCACACAGCCTAATTGTGTGTGTGTGGCGGGGTGGGGGACACATCATGGTCACACCATCACCATCTTGTTGGGGCTATATGTAGTGGTGAATAAAATACTCTGGCCTCCAGAGAGCATCCCCCTGCCTGAGCACTGAAGGCTCAGCCTCAGCTTCCTCATCTGTCAAGTGGGCCCTCAACAGGACTTTCATCACAGGAATGGGGGCCTGGCTGGTGGGGGCCGATGTTGGTGCATACTGAAAGCTTCTGACAGGCCTACTGGGGAGATTTCCAAAAAGGGAGAGTGGTAAAATGTAGGGAGTTTTTGTCTGTTTGGTTGTTTGTTTAAACTGCAAAGCCAGTGTTGTGATTGGCTTCCATTCCAGCATTTAATTAAGTTAACATCGAGTCTCTGTTGTCTTTGGGTGAAAAGAAATAAAAGACCCTCCATTTGCTCAGAGGTTTCCCAATGTTTAGCTTGACTGCAAATCTGTTGCAATCCCGCAGTCCCATTCTCTGCTCAGTCCCTGCCCATCCCACTGGGCCAGGGAGATCAAGGTTAAGGACAAAGAGGTTTCACATGACCAGGGGTCTTTGTGAATTTTACAGGGTTTCCTGCAAATCACTCTAAAGTGAAGCCTTCCATAATTAGCACGCCAGTGAGAATCCTTTGATCATGTCTCCTCTGCTGACTAAACAGAAAGGAAAGGGACATTGGGGTGATGCCTATTACCTGAAGGTGGGTTGTGTCTCCTTGACCCCCACCTTGAAATCAGCCTCAGACTCTGAGTCAGACATGCCCAGCTCCACATCTGCTGTGTGACTGTGGGCAACTCACTCCACCTCTCTGATCCTCAGAGGCCTCATTTGTAAAAATGGGATGATAACAGTAATCACAGGATATTGTCAGGGGCTTCAGTGAAGTGATCCATACACAATGTTTAGCCCGGTTTCTGGCACTTAGTAAGAGCTCAATAAACAGCAGTCATTGTTACTGTATGACATCATCTAACGCTTGCAAAGACTTCCAAAGACCTAGGTTCCAGCCTGGTTCTACCACTCATTACTGAGTGGTTTTTACTCACATCATGTTACCCCTAACCTCTCTGATCTTCCTCCATCATATGATGAGAGGAATTCAAGCCCTGGAGAGGATAATGAAGTGGATGAGAATGATCACCATCATAAGTATAATGATAATTCCATTTATTAATTGATTCTATCACTGAACTGTTTCCAAAACCCTTACCTCCCACACTACCCACCGCCATTGTCCCAGCCCAGGCCTCATCACCTCACACCACACTCACTTATTCATTCAACAAACACGTAGTGAGCACCACAAAAGCCAGGCCCCTTTCTAGGTACTGGGGCTACATTGGCAAATACACAGGCAAACATCCCAGGCTTTGTGTGCAGCGGTTTTCAAATGGGGGTGGTTTTGCCACCCCTTCCCCACCTCAGGGGGTGTTCGGCAAATGTCTGGAGATGACTTTTGGTTGTCACAGAAATCATGCTACTGGCATCTACTGGGTAGGGGGCCAGGGATGCTGCTCAACATCCTACAATGCACAGGTCGGCCCCACGCCACACAAAGAATGACCCAGCTCAAAATGTCAATAAAGCCAACATGGCAAAACTCTGTTCTAGAGGGAAGACACAGGCAGGAAACAAAATAAATAAGTCACTCACAGGGTGGATTTGAAGGTGATAAGAGTTATGGAGAAAAGACAGAGCTGTGGTAGAAGAGGCCAGGAATGGGATGGAGGGGGTGAAAGTGATGGTGATGGGATTTACCAAAGATCTTATGTAGGGTAGGAGAGAAAGAGTATGGTCATTTTCTTTTCTTTTTTCTTTTTTTTTTTTCTGAGACAGGGTCTCACTTTGTCTCCCAGGCTGGGGTGCAGTGGTGTGATCATAGCTCACTTTAGCCTCGACCCATCTCAGCTCCCCAAGAAGCTGGGACTACAGGTGTGCAACACCACACCCGGCTAATTTCTGTAATTTTTTTGTAGAGGCAGAGTTCTGCCACATTGCCCAGGCTGGTCTCAAACTTTTGAGCTCAAGCAATTAGCCTGCCTCAGCCTCCCAAAGTGCTGGAATTACAGGCATGAGCCACCATACCCGCTGTCCCTGACATTTCTGACCTGAGTGTCTAGAAGAATAAATGAGTAGGGCAGCCCAATCCAAGCGTCCCTTGATATCCGCTAGTAACCCTCCCTTCCCCTGCCAATCCCTCCCCTGTTCCCTACACAGCAGCCAGGAGAGTCTTTAAATAGAAATTTTACACCTCTATTCCCTTCTCTAACCTCTAAGCCCACATGGCTCCCAATGGCTGTTAGCACCCACCCTGACCCAAAGGCCTACCATGACATGAGCCCTGCAGGCTCCCCAGTCTTCGTCTCCTTTCCACTCTCTACCCCCGCCTGACCCTGCTTCTCTTGAGTGGCTCAGGTCAGATGCCACCTCCTCCAGGAAGCTTCCTCAAGCAAAGTGCTTGCTGAGCATGCTGGTCTGTGATGTCCTGTCTCCTCCACCTGAGCTCTGTGCAGGTGGGCATCAGAGCTTCTTGCTCACCATTCCAGGGTGACCCACCATCCAGGTTTGCCTGGGATCCAGTTTCCCAGGCCGGTTACACATTCGGTGCTAAAAGTGGGAAAATCCTAGGCAAACCGCAACCAGTTGGTCACTCTCATTATATACTTGATGTTTAGCAGAGTCTAGGTCCAGCTAAGCTCAATTACTATCTGTTTAATAAATGGCAAGAGATGTATAAATGTTTTGTATGTATGGATGAAGTTCATTGTTAATGAGTTAATAATCCAAAAGGACTGGCCGGACTTTTGGGAACCTCTGGAAGACCCTAACCCTGATCCATCCTGACTTGAGCTTGAAGGACCTATAAAAATCACAGCGTCTCTGCTCTCTAGCCAGGGCCCAGGCCAACCTGTCAGTCTGTGCAGAAAGGGAGGTCAAGGCCATTGGAGAACACTTGGAGCATTTGAGTCCAAAGACCTAGTTCTCCTGAACCTGGACGCCAGCCCACCCTACGCCTGGGCCTCAGCTGCCCCACCTTGGAGCCCTGTGTCCTGATTCAAATCCCTGCCCAGCCCTGTCACCTGAGCTCCATCTGGGACAGTTTATCTCCCTGGCCTGCAAAAGTAGGTATCTGAAAATGCTTCTCCCCAGGTTTTAGTTTTCTTTTTCTTTCGTATTTTCTTTTAAAAATACTTTCTGGTGAAATCAATCCTCCATCCTTATCATGTTCTGAGAAAAGGGGCTAACTGTATCCTCCAGGCAGGTGGCCTCTGTGCCAGGACAAAAGCTGCTCTGGTTCTTTTCACACATGTAAATCTGAACCCCTGGGGGAATGACAGGACAGAGTGGGGCGCACCCACACTCAACTACAGAGTAACTTGGCTTAAAACAGGATTTCAGAGGATGCTCTCTGTGCATAAAGCCCAACCAATGATGGTCCTGGTGGATGGGGGCCCCCAAAGATAATTATCTTGGGGGATGGAAGGGATGTTTTTCATTACCACAATACAGAAGATAACATAAAACAAAGATGTACAATTTGCATCATGTACAATGATGTGCAGTTTGCACAATGAATGCACACCCCATGTAACTCCCATCCAGGGCAAGAAACAACACTGCCAGCACCTTGAGACCCCTTCCAATGACATGCCCCCCTCCTTCTCCAGTCGAGGTAACTACCTTCAGGACGATGGTGGTAATTTCTTCCTTGTTTTTATGTTTCCACCAAAGCATGCCTGCATCCCTAAACACTATAATGTAGTTTAGCTTCTCTTTTGAGCATTTTATAACAAGAATCCTGTAGTATGTGCCCTTTTGTAGCTGGTTTTTTCACTCACCATTATTTTCGCACAATGCCTCCTTTCATGGATTATAGCTGTAGGTTGTTCATTGTCACTGCTGTGTACTATTCCTTGGTATGTCTAAACCTTATTTTACTTATCTATTCTACCATAATGGACATTTCAGCAGTTCCTGTTTTTCACAGTTATGAGTATTATAAAGCAATAAAAGAATGTGTATACCGATTTCTGTTGAGTGTATATCTTGACATGAAACAGCAGAGTCATAGGGCATGTATTGTGCTGCCTAAATAAATACTGCTGAACAGTTTTGCAAAGCAGTTGTACCAATTCACACTCCCACCAGCAGCGCATGAGGGTCCTAAGGCCTCTTTGAACTCCGTCTATTAACTCCACAGTTTTGTTGTACATATGTGGCAGGCTTGGAATGTTAGCCTGGGAAGCCTACTGAACAAGACCCAGCTGGTTCCCTGACCCCCAAAAGCAGACAGTCCGGTAGAGGGGTTGCAGGTTGGTTAGATCAACACACAACGCTGTAATCACAAAGCCTTAAGGAATGCTGTGGAGCTTGGAGAGCACATGCCAAGGGGAGCCCCAGAGGAATTTCCAGAAGTGATGCTTCACCCAAGACCTGAAGGAGGAGCTGCAGTTAATTAGGTGAAGAGGGGTGGGGGTTGAGTGGCAAAGCATGCTGGGCAAGGGCACAGTATGTGCAAAGGTCCTGAGGTGGGAGGCAGCAAGGTGTGTTTAAGGAGCTGGGGGAAACAAAGGCCCAGAGAGGTCAAGAAAGTCTCCTGAGATGACATAGTAAGTGAGTAGCAGAGCTGGGCCTGGATTTCACTGCTCAGGGATCCTTGGTGCTCATGGATGCAGCCAGTGCAAATGTAAACCGGTTCCCTTGAAATGCAAGGCCCTGTCACAAGAGGCAGGGCCTGGATTCAGGCAGGCCAGAGTTCAAATCTTGGCTCTGCCATGTCCGAGTTGTGCGAGCTTAGGCAGGTCTCTTTGCCTCTCAGAGTTTCCTCATCTGTGAAAAAGAGGACAGTGATGGGAAAGCCACCACTCAGGGCTGCTGGGGGAGTAAAGGAGGCTGTGCTGGGAAAGGGCCTGGTATGGAGTGAGTGCTCACTCACAATAAGAGGCATCATTATCTCACTCCCTTTCACCAGGCTGCTGGGGCTGCAGTTTTACAGGAGGAGCTAAGCTTTGTTGTGTACCTATCATGCTCCTGACACCTAGAAGGCAGGAGCTCCAAGGGTCTCCATGCTACGGATGAAAAAACTGAGACTCAGAGAGGTGAAGTGAGTTGCTCTCCAACACACAGCTACAAACTGGGAGAGAGCTAGGATAGAATCCTCTCGCACACATAAGGACGACAGCTGAATTACCTTCTCAGCCTCTGCAGAGAGAGTTTTATCCCAGGAAATCAATAGTGTGAAGCAGGAAATCAGAGAGAACATTAATAAGCTCAGGCAGCAAAATGAACTGCTTCGAAGCAGCCATTCTCGCTGAATTCCATCCTCAAAGCCTATTACAAATGGCACAGCTCAGAGGAAGACAGGTGCTCCCATGGCCATGAAAAAGGATGCTGAATGCATAACGCGTATGACCCAGGTTTGTAGAACAATGGGCCGGTGTGTCTTTTGAGGTCATCCATAACACGAGCTCTCAACGTACAGACAGTACAGGCTCTGGGTCCCACATGCTGAGGAGACTTGGCTTTACAAGAAGTGGTCCAACAGGGCTCACAGACACACTCATCTAGCCTGCCCTAGGTTTTAAAATTGCCCGAATTAGTGGAATTCTCTTGGAAAAAAAAAAATCAAGATATGTGGACCATCCTGGGCAGGCATTCTTGTGTGGCAACAATAGGCTGGGGCTGGGGCTGGGAGAAGCTGTGCCCCGTGGATGGGGCACTTGGTCTCTGGCTCACCATAGTCCTCCTGCCTGTCTCATGCCTATGGGACCCACCTGTCCTGGAGGCATCTGGATTTGTGACCGCCCCCCTGCATCCCTGGTGCCATCACAGCTTTCCGCTGATAAACTGACACAGGAGCTGGGGGCTTGCTAGGGAACAGCCACTTTTGTCAACCAAATGGGAGGGAAGTGACTGATCCAAGGCTACACAGGGTTTAGTGGGATGTTCAGGTTGAGTCTTCAGGATGTGGAGTGCCTCCCATCGCCCTGGATACTGACGGGCCCCTGTCTGGCCTATATTATCACCATGCTGAGAATAATCACAATTGTAACATCAGTCATAATAGGCGTGATTTACCAGGCACATTGCACGCTGGGGGCAGTGCTAAGTACCTTGCATGCCTGATCTCATATCATCCTCACAGCAAGGCTCTGAGATGGGGACTAGATGGCTTGTTGACCAGTCATTTTAGTCTGACCAGTTATCTCTTCCCTTTCCTTGGTTAACTAGGTTCTGATTTTCCACTGGGGGCCCACCCCCTCCCCAGCTATTGGTCTTTGTGGCTCAGGAAGCCACAGACAGTAATTCATGCCCCTCCCCCAAAGAGGTGTCATGGTTGATCACATGACCCTGACCTGATCAAACAGCAGCGATCATTTCCCTAGTCACTGTGACAGGTGCCAGGAGGCTGTAGGTCTCAATTTCAGAATTGCTGGAACTGGGCTTTCAGATGCCACAATATAAGTAGTTAGAGACTGATGGGTATTTGTGTTTAGAAGAAGATAGCTAGTCTAAAATGAAGCCCACACAGAGAAAATGGGAGCCAAAAGATTGGTGAAGCATGACGGAGAGGCTGGATGCGGTGATTCACACCTATAATCCCATCACTTTGAAAGGCCAAGGTGGGAGGATCGCTTGAGGCGAGGAGTTTGAGACCAGCCTGTGTAACAAAGCGAGACTCCATCTCTGCAAAAATTTTTTTAAAAATTAGCCGGGCACAGTGGCACCCACCTACAGTCTCAGCTACTAAGGAGGCTGAGGCAGGAGTATCTCTTGAGCCTAGGAGGTCGAGGCAGTGAGCTTTGACAGCACCACTGCACTCCAGCCTGGGTGACAGAGCAAGACCTTGTCTCTAAAGAGAAATAAAAAAATAGAGAGAGAGAGAGAGAAGGAAGGAGAAAGGAAGGAAAAGAGAGAGGTGACCAGAAAGAGAGACCTGTAAGATGTCAAGCTCCTGGATCCAGCCAAGCCTGAAGCTAGGTTGCTAGTTTTATAAGCCAATAAATTTCATTTTATGCCTGAGAATAAAAGAGTGTAAGGATGTTTAAGTTGGGTTTTCTGTCACCTACAACCAACAGAATCCAGATGAATGCAAACACTATCATTATTTCTATTTTACTCATGTATATGAGGAATCAGAGGCCAAGGAGATTGAAGTAAATTATCCAAGGCCACACAACTGTGAACTGGAGCACTTGTACTTGAGCGAGATCTGCCTTACACCTGAAGCTGCTGGGTTAGAAATCTTGGTCTCTTATAGGGCTGTCCCTCTGCCTCCAGGAGCTGAGGGTTGGAGATTTTAGAAATAGCATGTGTTCAGAGCTGCAGGTACCTGTGGTGTTTTGAGGAGGCCAGGGAGGGAGTAGAGGAGGCTACATAAAAATGAAATACATAATTGTTATTTAAATCAGTTCAGATGCCATAAGAAGAAAAATCAAAGCTTTCTGTGGCATTTACCCAGTGCCATTTTTAATTCTACCTTATCAAAACACAGCTGGGATTAGTTTTTCAAAAAGGAAAAGCTCCTTTAATAAAAAAATAAAAATGTTCTAATAAAAGTTAAAATAGCCCACAGGCCCATCAGGTGACAAAGGAAGGGAGACGGGGGCATTTTAGCAACTTAAAGCAGATTAAGAAACTAATTTGTTGACTCTTTTCTCCAAAGCTCACCTCTCCCTGGAAGGCTGTGTGTTTTGCATAATGAAGCTGAAATCACCCTGTTCTCTCTGCTCTTTGCAGGGATTTCAATAGGCTCCCATCTCAAGTTGACGGGGACAGCTTGGAGGCCTTTCTTCTTCTTGCTCTGGCCAGGGTTTAATGGAATCATTCAACTCCACTTTACTTAAACTCTTTACAAGGTTTCCCACTGCTGGGAGGGGCTCACAAGGCCCTGAGGACATTCCAGTTTCATCATATACCAGCTCCCCGACCCCAAAAGCAGGAACCTGTGACTATGAGACATTTACCTAGTAAAAGAAACTTTGCAGATGTGACTAAGTGGAGGATTTTGGGATGGAGAGATTATCCTGGATTACTCAAATAGGCCCAATGTCATTACCAGGGTCCTGATGGAGAGTCGCAGCCAGAGACAAAGATGTGATGACGGAAGCAGACATCAGAGTGGCTTGGGGCTATGAACCAAGGAATATGGGCAGCCCTCCAATGCTGGAAAAGGTAAGAGAGTGGATTCTCCCCCTCGAACCTCCAAAAGGAACCCAGCCCTGCTGACCCATTTTAGACTTCAAACCTCCAGAACTGGCAGATAGTAAATTTGTATTGTTTAGAACCGGGGATGGTGGTGGCCATCTGTAGTCCCAGCTACTCAGGAGGCCAAGGCAGGAGCATCGCTTGAGTCCAGGAGTTCGGGACCAGCCTAGGCAATATAGTGAGACTCTATCTCTTCAAAAATTTTTTAAAAATCACAAAAACAAACAAACAAAAAAGAACAAAAAGTTTTTAAAAACTAGCTGGGTGTGATGGCACTTGCCTGTAAGTCTCAGCTACTTGGGAGACTAAGGTGGAAGGATCACCTGAGCCCAGGAATTCAAGGCTGCAGTGAGCTATGATCGTGTCACTTGCATTCCAGCCTGGGTGATACAGACTCCATCTCTAAAAAATAAAGAAACAAGTAAAGAAAGAAAGAAAAGAAAAGAATGTAAAGATTGTCTTGCTCAAGCCACTACCTTTATGGACATTGTTTCCCGTAGCCATAGGGAACTCATCCGCTCACGCTGAAAAGCAGCATGGGAGCGAAGGGGCCGCAGGACCTGTCATGGATCAGGATGTGAAAGGCCCACGTTCTAGTCCCAGCTCTGCCACGATGCCCAGGGGGTGGGAGGGCTGGCCGGCTGCTCCCTGGGACCCCTTCCAGAGCTGGCAGCCTTGCTCTGCTGAAGTTCACACTCACAGGGACAGTGATCACAGCAGCCCAAGGCTTCAGGACTGTAGCAGGGGCTGGCAGGGGGTCAGGGGGCAGGAAAGGCCCCTGGCTGGGGGATCATGAGGGGTGAGGGCAGAAGATCTGGGCGGTCCAGGGGAGAAGACACTGACACCTCAATCCCCAGCACTTGAGGAACAAGCTGTGTGGGCCCCCAGCTACTACTACCTGGTTCTTTTTGAGTGACACACAGGTTTACCTCTCATGATCAGCCAGTGCCCAAAATCAGGCGGACAGACAGAGCAGCAGGTTGCCGTAAAAGCTATGCCAGGATGGATTATGGGGAGAGGCCCTGATGACCAGAGAATCCCCATGCCTCTTCACTCTGCTCATAGACAGTAAGGAGGTGCCTCACCACTCTATGATGTAGCTCACCTCTGACAAGACCTGAAATAAAAGCCACCCAATCACAATCATTATGTTACTAACTGGCACTTATGTAACCTGTACCATATGCTAGGCGCCATTTTAGGTCATTGAATCTTCACTCAGCCCTTCCAGTTTTGTATCTCAGTTTTAAAACGAGGAAACGGAGGCGAAGAGTGGTTAACTCACAGCCCAAGGCCACTCAGCTGAGAAGCAGCAGAGCTAGGATTGAAACCCAGGCAGGCTGACCCTGGGCGTGACTCGGGATGATGCCATCATTCTACCCCGTGTACCTTCTGAGTTCTTGCCCTGGGCTGAGAACTCTCCATGCATAAGGTCACGTCATCTTCACAGCAATCCTAGACACATCAGCTCACCCTCTCTCTTTTGCAGGTGAGGAAACTGAGGCACAGAAAGGTGACGCCAGTGGCCCAAGGTTGTGTGATCAGCTGATGGTCTCTCTAACCCAAGCCTGGTGCCTCTTCTCAGCTTTTCACTGCTGAGCTAGGTTCCTGCTCACTCGCCACTGGCTTCAGCCAGTGTGAGAGAGTTTCTGTTATTTAAAACCTGCCATGTCCCATTCTGACATTTCAGAACCTCATATGGGCTTGTTCTCTCCCTACTAATAATGATGAATATTGTTCTGAGCATTTACTATGTGCTAGGTATTGTGCTGGGCTTCTATGTGAATTCACTTATAAAACACTCATAGCAACCCTTGGAGAATGCATTATTATTATCCCCATTTTACAGATGAGAAACTGAGGCACAGGGGTTAAGACACTTGTCCAAAGTTAGAGAGTGTGCAAGTGGCTGATCTGGGCTGTGAAGCCAAGCAGTTTCAGTCTACAGCCCATGTTGGTGACTCCAAAACTACACAGCTTCGAATTCGCTCACTTTGCAGCATGTACTACTCTGGACCCTAATCTCCTCCCCACCTGAACCTGAGCTGGGAAAACTCTTCCTAGGTGCAGGCATTGGGTCTGTTCCAAGTCCCCAGTTCACAAGGGCTGGTGAGGGAGTCTTCCATAAAAATGGAAACAAGAAGAAGAACACCTCCTAGAATTACTACAAGTCATTCAGCCATAAATTCTCTCTTGTTTGAAAGTATGTTTCCCCCAATTAATTCCATCCCATGCAACTATCAAATTTTATTTGGAGATAGACCTCCAATGCCTAAGGAATGATCCAGGAACTCACACCTTCATTATTTTCTTTCCTAAGGTGGTAAGCTGAGGCTGCTCTTCTCAGTCTGGGACTCAAGAATTCTGGGGCTCAGATAGCAATAGGATCCACCCATCTGATGGTGCTAAGCACAGAACACTCATTCATTCATTCTCTCAACAAACATTGAGCGTCTACTATGCACCAGTCCCACCTTGGTGCAGAGGCACAGCTGTGAACATGAAGCCTGCTGCCCTCCCAGGACAATTACCCAGGTGTCTCCTCTGTCCTCCCAGGGGGCATTGCTACCCAGGTCTATCAAGTTGGGCTCATCTCCCAGGGCCCAGCACAGGACCTGGCAGCTCTGAAATGAAATAGGTGCCTAATAAAGGAGTGTTAAATAAATGAATGGATGCACAAATATGTTTATGAATCAAGCAAATCACTAAATAACATTCATGGCAGAGGAAGCTGAAGTTCAAAGAGAAAACTTATTGGAGATGCCCCAGATGGTGTGAAGAGGCAGAAAATGACTGATTCATCATGAGTCCTGAACAGATGCCCACAGACACATTAGTGCTAGGAAGAATCTTAGTTATGCCCATTGGAGAAAATGACTTATCTTCTGGCTAAGATGACCATTGTTGAGTACTTACTCTACATAAGCATGATCTCATTGAATCCCTGTAAGAACCCTATGAGGTAGGTATTATTGCCATTTTACAGACGAGGACATGGAGGCACCATAAGCTCATGCAACCTGCTCAAGATTACACAGCCTATAAGCTACCGAGCTGGGATCGGAAGTGAACCTGTTCAATCCCAAAGCCCAAGTTCTTAGCCCTCACTCCTAAGGCACAACAGAGTTAAATGGGGCATCTTTTTACCCAGCTACTGGACATGTATGAAGATGCCATCGTATTTTTTTGAGGCCGGGGCATCTATGGCAGGCTGGCTCACCCAACTCCATCCAATGTCCTGTCCCAGTGGTGGGTCTTCCCGCATGCTGGCCATCAAACGATAGAACCTCACTTCTCAGAGTCCTCTCCAGCCTGGTTTCTGCATGTGCCCACCTCCCACATGAGATATAGAAGTTGAAAGCAAATGTCATGAGACAGGCTGTGGTGCTGTTCCTTCTACCATGCACAGACAAGAAGGTGCTTTGGGTTTCTGCAGCAGTTGTAGCTCATGTACAGCTGTCCTCAGTGTATAGCGGATGCCACTGAGGCTGAGAGGGAGCCATTGGCTGCTGTTAAGTGGCTAAGATCTGAACCTAGACTTGCCTGATTTCAAAGAATATTCATTTCTTGAGCACCTATCACACACCAGACACTGTCTAGGTACAGTTAGATGTCACTTATCCAACATTGTGAAAAATGAAGAGTTCCACGTACGTGAATTTTTCAGACACCAGAGGCTACCTACACAGAAACATTTATTAGTTTAGCCATGGGATCAAATACTGTATTCAATGAATTATTCCTTGCCCTTGCTCCTGCCTATTAAATAGGATTTAACTATTTCTTGGGGCCAGCACAGAGGCTGGCCATTTCAGTGTCCTATAACATTCAGCTGGACAGAAGTTACGGGATGAGGTTGTTGGACCACTACACTAAATTCCCCCAAGCTGTCATTCTTTTATTTCCATGCTTCGTAGTTTTGTAATCTCTTCATCTTCACCCTTGTTCCCAGGCTGTCAGCTGTTGCTTCTGCCTGCTGTCACTGTGCACTCTCTACCATTCTACAGTCTCATCACTTGCTTCCTCTATGTGCTATAGGGCCTGGGAAATCAGGTCACTGAGCTCATCACAATGGTGTGCAGAGAAAGAGTAAACAGGCCCTGAGTGAGGGAATGCTGGCTCTTTTCTGATATGGGCACTGGAGTAATTAAATCAGACTACTTTCTTATTGTGTTTTACAGAGAGTTGAGTTCCCAGGGTAAATGGCATGCAGTTATGATGGTGATACACCTAAGAGCTATGTGAAAATTAAAACTAATCTAATTGTTCCAGAGATTCTAGCTTTTCTACCTGTCCCACCAGGGAGGCTTTCAAAATGCAAAGAGCCCAGGACACTGGAGTGTAAACAGATATTCTAGAGGCAGAAATCAGGGCCATCTTAGCCAAGTGGGGAAGAAATGTGGGTGATCCACTGTCTCTGGAGGCTTAGGGGCTTTCTATGAACCTGCAAATCCAGAGCCCAGCATGCTCAGCCCCCAGTCCTGTTGAGTAGTCTGCCTTTAACTGTCCTAGCAGGGGACCCTCCAGCCATTCAGTCACCCAAGCCTGCCCAGCCTCAGCCTCACTGATAAACCCATGTTTACTATCCTCAGGCCTGTGGGGATGGACCTGGCCTGGTGCATGCCATTTCCAGGTTAACAAATGAGAGGGAGAGAAAAGGGAAAGCTTCCTCCGAGGAGTTCCTGAAACCGTGCATCACCCCCACCTGGGAAAGACAGAGCGGGGAGGCAGCGGGAGGAGTAGCTGAGAACACGGGCTTTGAGGTCAGAGAGACGTGGGCTCTGCCATGCGCTGGCTCTGTGACTTTAGATAAGTGAATGAATCTCTCTGAGCCTCAGTGTCCACATGGGTCAAGTGGAGACTGGGGTCCCTTAACTCACAGGACTGTCACAAGGATTCAGTGAGAGAATGGAAGTGAAGTCTGATTACAATGCCAGGCACTGTAAACACCCTGCATACACAAGCTACGGTGATCAGGAAGGTCCCCAGGTCAGGGTCCTGCAGGGCCACCTTGGAGCACAGGCCAACATATATTAAGGCTTTAGTGCTACTCCAATTAGAAAAGAAAATGGAACCATAAAAAGCTGCACTGGAGAAGTCCTTCGTGATCATATGTAACTTCTCTCCCATTCTATAGATGGGACTTGCTAAAGGCCACTAAGTCAGTTGGCGCAGAGCTGGGATTCAGACCTCTTCACTTCCCACTCAGAAACTCTTCCCCCAGGACCATTGTCACCTGCCTCCTACTGTCTATGTGGCCTTGGGTTGTCTCTCTCCCTTTCTGGGTCTCCATCTCTCCATCTAAGAATTCTCCAGCTCACAGTCTCTGGAGTTACTGCACCTCTTCTGACCCTTCAGATGCCTCACCTGTGGATGAATGCAAACCCCATATGTCACCTGACTCACAATGATACAGCCGAATCCATCAGATTTTTGCCTTGGTCATCCTAGTCCAAAGCTCAGGACCCTGGCTGAGATTTTTAGCTCATGGGTCAGCAAGTTTTTTCTGTAAAGGGCCAGATAGTAAGTGTTTTAGGCTTTGCAGGCCATGTGATCTCTGTCACAAATACTCAACATTCCTGTTGTAGCTTGACAGCAGCCATAGACAATAGCCAATGAATGGGCTTAGCTGAGTTGCAATAAAACTTTATTTACAAAAACAGGCAGTGGGCCAGATTTGGCTTGTGGGCCATAGTTTGTTGGCCTCTATTCTAGACCATTCCAAGCTGGGTCCAATATTTCCTCTGGGATGAGAGTAACCAATTTGTCCTGGTTTGTGTGGGACTCTTCCAGTTTTCGCACTGAAAGTCCAGTATCCTAAAGAAACATCTCAGTTTCAGACAGTCAGGATGATTGGTCACCCTATCTGGGATCTGGAGGCCCCTACTTTCTCTTATCTCTGCATTGCTCTGGTAGTGACATTCAACCGTCTCCACCATAAGGAGGAGGAGGAGAAAGAATAGGAGGAAGAGGAGTTATTGTTTATTATGGCTTCCAGCATGAAAGGCACTGTGTGAAGGACTTTGCCAAATTACTTTGTTTGATCCTTACAACAATCCAGTGAGGTGAGGCTGAAGTTCCTTCCAGTAAAGGGTAAAGTCTGGACTGGAACCCAGCTTCATCTGCCTCCATAACCCAGGTTCTCCTACTTCTACCTCAGATTGTAAGCTCATTGAAGACAGAGCTGGGGTCTCTCATTTCTGTATCTTCAGTGCCCAGCACAGAGTATGATGCTGAGAAGATTCTGAGCAAACACTGAATATCAGCAAATACTGATGCTGAATGAATACTTGAATGGATGCATGGAAGGATGGATGGATGGATGGATGGACGGATGGACGGACGGATGGAAGGATGGATGGCTGAAGAAATCTCACCACATTCAAATAGACAATTCCCACTTCTGTGACATGATTCACTTCCGCGAACCAAACCTCCAGGTGAGTGAAGGGGGGAAATGTCAAATGTATGCTATGACATCAGTTACATAAAACATGCCTGCTGGCACTGGGAGGCAATATGACATCATGGTTAAAAACACGGTCTCTGACATCAGGTGATCTGTGTGCAAATCCCAGAAAGCCTGGCTTCTGAGCTGTGTCACCTGGGCAAGTCATTCATCTCTCTGACAGAAGACTAGATGAATACAAAGCTCCTGGCATAGTGTGTGCACCTGGTAAACACTTTGTATATGGTACTTATCATTATTAGTGTTGATATTAGGATGGACAGAAAGCAAGGTACGAATGGGACACCAACAGTGAAAAGTACAGGTGTTCATTATGCACCTCTGAATAGGTACCAGGGTCAAACAGGAGAAGGAAATAAAGATGACTTACTGGTAACTGCATCAGTTAGCTATGACCATGACAGTGGTGTGTAACAAACAACCAGAAAACCCCAGTGAGATACCTGTGAGGGGCATTTATTTTGCCGATCTGCTTGTGACCAGCTGGAAACTGGCTGGACTCATCCCTTCACCAAGGTCTGGGCTTAACATGTGCCCATTCTAGGGCCAGGCTGAGAAGGCAGCTCTCCACCTAGCCATGGCAGAAACACACAAGGTTCCCTAAGGCCTAAGCTTGGAATGGGTACACTATCTCTTCCACTTCACTCTAATGGCCAAACCTGGTCACATGGCCGAACCCCAAAGGGAGGGGGCAGGGGCATAAGTTTTGCCTGCTCCTTGAATGAGAAGAGCAGTGACGTCTTATGGCTAAGGGCATGGATACAGGGAGGAGGGAGGAAATGGGAACAGTGATGCACCCATCCCAATAACCAGGCACTGGCGGACCTTGAAAAGGGGCCCCACAGTGGCCCAGTCCTGCCCTCCTCACCAGCTCCTGACCTCAAGGTTCTGCCTCATCAGCTCTTGGGCAAAGTCTAGAAGGCCCCTAAGCAGCAACACTTGCAGTCCGTGGGGAACCAGAGACCCACCCATACCCCACCACAGTCCCTATCTTCCCAACATCTGGACCTGCTCCAGGGAGCCATTAATCTCGGGCAATTTCTTTCCTCACTTGATTTGTTTATTTAAGGAAAACAAGTTGCTCCTAATTAGAAACACTGCTGTCGAGATGTTCAGCACATCCTAGGCTGCCTATTTTCAGACCTTCTGCCTAAAATTATACCTGTGCTTTTAACATCTGCGAGTTTGTTCAGCAGCCGTCCTAAGTAGAAGCTTCTGGCAAGACAGATTTGGGCTGTTACAGAAGGTGAGGGAGGCGGGGGCAGGGGGATACACCGGGCTTTGGAGCACTGCAAGGCAAAGGCACTTGGAAAAATGAGCACGCATCATCCAACACTCTGCTCAGAGCTGGCACCAACTGCTGAATCAACACTCGGAAGGTGCACGGCACAAGCACAGTTCAGTCCTGAGGAGCAGGGAGAAGAGTGATCTTAAATGTTCAGAGATGGTTTCTGTTTGGAAGCTCACAGGTATGTTCACACCCCTCCACCCACACACTTGTTTATACCCCTAGAGACACTCAGACACACCCTCAGAGATGTGCATGCTTAGAAGCACACACATACACACAGACATGCACAAAAGTTACACTGCTGTACAAACAGGCAAACACGCTCAGAAAAACACACATGTACGCCCAGAGATGTGCAAAAAGATACAGTACAACACCACTCAGAAATTCACTCATACGTGAGACAAAAGTTACACTGGAACACACAGAAATACACCTTCAGAGACACTCACGTGCACACAGACACACTCAAATGTACGCTGCAACTGACACACCCAGATACTGACACTCACAAACACACACATACACACAGAGATACGCTCAAGTGTGCAATGCTACACAGAGGCACATACACTCAGAAACACCTGTGTATATGTCGAGAGATCCACAAAAAGTTCACACTGCAATACACACAGTCACACACCCACAGAAACACACATGTATACACAGACACAATCAAATGCACATGCTAACATTCACGGATACACACGTTCAGAAACACACGTTTACACAGAGACATTCACAGAGATTACACCAGAACAAACAGATGCACACACATACAGAGACAATCAGGTGTGCAATGCTACACACACATATGCACATAGAGGCACACACAAAGGTACATTAAAAAACATGCAGATACATAATGCCTGTAAGTGCATAGCACAAACTCACACTCACATGGCTGTATGCACATGTATGCAGGCACTGAGAAATGCCCACATACACATGCAAATAACACACACAGCTATGAAAACATGCACCAGGCAGAGAGTATAGCTTCTTAAACACGGATATTTCTGCACAGATCCCCTAGAGCACACACGTGGATCTGTGCAGGCATACACCTGCTTAGCCCAGACACACATGACTCACATATATACAACTGCGTAACATTCACAAGTGTATATACATACCCACCCTTGCACCGATTCACAAATGCACCAATTCTCTTGCAGGCATGCACACGCACACTCACAAATCCATAGACATGCACGCTCACACTCATAAATCCATCAGACACCAAGTACACACTCACACTGACACTATCTCATGAGTGCACACACTTATGGTTCTCATGTAAGTTATGCTCACACAAGCACATGAGCCCACACCTGCATGAGAATGCACACATATGCACACATTCACACACGTGTCCACACACACACCTTACTCTACCATGAAAGCAAATTGTTCGTTTTTTCAGAGTCTTAAAAGTCAAGTCCAAGCAAGCACACAGTGGAATTGCTCCTGTTCCCCATGAATTCACTCCATGTCACTGGGATGGGGTCTGCCTTCCCCACTGATGGTTTCAGCATAAACCCGGGGCAACCCACAAGCCTCAGAACCACGCAGAAAAAAATCACACTGACCAGTCCACTGCATTCCCTGACAATTTCATCATTCCCCCATGTGTGCATACGCAGGCACACACACACACATGCGTACACACACACACACAATGCTGTAAGACACTTCTTTCCCCAGCTTGACTTTTCCTGCCAAGAACAGTAGCCTTGTCTGCCCAGCATGGGGTAGTTCTCAAGCGTCAGCTGAGTGCCCTACACGCAGACATTCTGAACTTCTCTGCCCTGGTCCCTAGACAGCTGCGAAGTTGAAGCCATGGAGACTGCCTACCTCCACCTCCTGATGTCCTGGTGATACAGCAGCTGGGTGCATGCAGCACTCCCAGACCACCCTGGGCTCCCCACTAGGAGTGGCTGGTCCAGCAGAGATTTTATGAGAAAGCAGAGAGAGGGCGGGGACTGCAGTGTCAGGTGATTGGAGAGAACAAGGGCCCTGCCATGTAGTCAAGGATCACCTGGTGCTTGGTGGGACAGGGCCAGCCTCCCTGGGGAAAACAGCACCCAGATAGATGCCCCACACAAGACCCAAAAGCAGGTAGCCTTGGCACCGTTGAGCTTCACTCTTTGCTAAACTCTACACTCAGCACCCTCCAGGCACCATCTCAGTTAGTCCTCTCAGCCCTGTAAAGTAGGAACTGTGAACTTCCCATCCTACAGTGGAGGAGCCGAAGCGTGGAGAGGGAAGTCACTGGTCAAACTTAGATCTGATCTGAGACCTAGGTCTCTTAAATTCTAAATTAAGATCCCCTCCTGGGATTACAAAAATCTCATCAGTGACAATCACTCAGGGCCATAGAGTGTCTCAACTGAACTGGGACCTCTGAGGATACATGAAATCTCTTCATTTTTGAGAAGCAGCAACTGAAGCCCAGAGAGGTCTAGTGATTTGCCCAAAGTCACACAGCAAATGAGAGCCAACTTGAAGCTCAATCTCCTGACCCAGACCCAGGGCTTTTTCCAGGACATCAAGCACCAGATTCTGACGCCCTGGAGGAATTCTTGGGTTTTGGCAGCCTAGGGACGCAGCTCTAACTTGGCCTGAGATCGGAATCCCACCTCACACCCCAAGAACTGTCTTAAAAACAACACAGCAATGCTACTCCGCAGAGGCAGATGCCCAGCCCAAGTAGGTAGCACCATGCCATCTATGGGGCTGTGACCACAGGGGCGGCTCTAAAATGATCCTCAGAGACCAGGTGATCTCCTTGGAGCATGCTTTTTACTAATAGAAAAAATCATCTAGCCAAACTTATGAGCTGTGCATGGGGCTCAGCAGAGCCTCTAGGGGCCTAGAGTGTGGGGATGAGAATGTCAGGAGGCCCTCTCCACGTGGCCCTTCCAGCCCCTTTTCTGCAAAAAGTTTGCACCTCCCCAGGCTCCAATAGGAATGGTCTCATTGAGCAGCCAGGAAACTTCCCCTATTTTTTTGCTCACCTAAGGAGCAGCCCCTTTGAAGCTGTAAGAATTAGGAAGTGACCTCCACCCTTCCTAGTGGTTCTGCCAAGGAGGTGAGTTGGCTCTTTCCAAGATACCTGGGGCTGCTGGAAAGGCTTGCAAGGAGGCGATTTGGCTGAGTTGGTCCCCTAGTCTCTAGTTCCCTCTCTCTCTTTACACACACACACACACACACACACACACACACACACACACACACACCCCAGAATGGACATAAGCAAATCTGCAAGGCACCCTACACAAAGCCCATTGCCTGGGCAGCTCTGGCTGTTGGCATCAGATGACAGGCAGCCTTATTCACCAGAGTATCACCCCCAAGAAACATCTTCTACAGCCAACTTGGAAATATGACTAGCTCCCTCTCCCTTGGAACTCTGCACTGGCCAGAAAGAGGGTGATTCATAAATCAAATTTACGGGGCCCACTGCCTCCCCGCTGGCCCACCTCCGCGGGAGAAGCCCTTGAATGCATGCCTGTAGGGGGCACAGGAATGCCCAGAGGAAGGATGCCTGGATGAGCCGGAATGTCCCACCCTCTGCCAGAGGAGAGAAAGTTTGTCATCTACGCAGAGCTGGGCTGTCACCACTCTGGGTTCCTCACTCGCCGGGCTCTGGACGACGAGCCCCCAACCTGCGGGGAAGCGTCTGGAAAGCGAAGCCCAGATCTAGGGGCAGAAGACATTTCGCACCAGCTCCGCGCCCGGCTCCCTCCTGGAGCCCTCTTCCCAGGTCCAGGCACCTGAGTCCTTACCTGAAGGGTCTCCGCCACTTGCAAACTCTGCCAGCTGAGCTCAGCAGGCGCCCGGGGTCCCTCTCTGCGACTCCCGCGTCCCGCTTGGCGCGCCCGCTCTGTGGGCGCCTTCCCAGCTGCTGCAGTGGCTTTAAGGAAAGGGGAGCCTGGATTTCCTTTCTCGCCACCAAGGCTCCTCCTGCCGGGCCCTGGGGCTATTTCTCCAGGTCTGGCTCAAGGGGCATCCTCTGCGCCTCCAGCGGGAAAGTGGGATAGTGTGCGCCTTGAATTGCAGCAGCGGCGACAGCGGTGGCCGGGGACGAGGAGGCGGTGGCGACGCCAGCCGGCGAGCCAGGGAGGCGGGCGGAAGCGAGAGGAAGTGAAAGCCGGGCTCCTGTGAGCCTGGCGCTCGGGCGGGCGGCACTGCGGGTGCCCCGAGCCGCGGCGAGGCCCCGCGCGGGCACCCGCCCCGGGGATGGAGATGCCCGGGCCCGGTGCGCGCAGGGCACCGGCTGCGGCTCGGCGCGGAGCTCCGGCCGCCTGGCTCTCTCTCGCTGCCTCGCCGCTGCCTCCTTGGCTGCCTTGCTCGCTCCCCTGGACTTCACGTCTCCAGCCCTAGCTCCCGCGCCGCTGCCGCCGCCGCCACCAGCAGCGCGCCTCAGCCCGGCGCGCTCCTCGCACGGAGCCACAGCACTGCCTACCGCTTAACTCCTTGCATGCCACCTGGCCCTCCCGCAGCCTCCCGGGGAGCCGGGCATAGCCGGTGCCAGGCCGGCTGAGCATATCGGGCAGGGGCCTCAGCCTTCCGGCCTCAGTGTCCTCTTCTGTAAAATGGGTTCGAGACCCAAGCCCAAACCATAGGGTCGCTGGAAAAATTCACTGAGCGGATTACGCAAAGTGCCAAGCTGCCTGACATGGGGAGTATGCACCCCAAATGGCAGAGTGCTTGCTGCTGCTGCTACTGTTGTCGACCAAGAAGCTTAGCACGGTGCCTCACAAATAGTAAACACCCAATAAAGCGCAGTTTCGGTTTTTGGTATTTAGTTTGTAGTTTTAACAGGTGGTAAGTTTTAGCTGTGTAACCTCTGGGTGATCACTCGCCCTCTCTGAGCCTGTTGCTTTCCAATCTCTGTGACCTTGGGCAAGTCACAGCACCTCTCTGAACCTTTGTGTCCCCATCTGTAAAATGGGGACAGTAATGCCCGTAGTCAAAGAATTCCCAGAGAAGCTCTGGCAGAAGAGCCCTTCTCATGACGGGGCAGGGCATCTAACGGGAGCTGGACATCTTTTCTTTCTTGATCTGGCTGGTGGCTGCACAGGTGTTTGTGACAAGTCGTTGTACTGTACATTTACATATCAAGTGCTTTTCTGTACATGGGTTAAATCTTAACTGTTTTTTGTTTTTTTGTGTTTCTTTTTTTTTTTTTTTTTTGAGAGACCATTCTTGAGCAAAACAGAACTGGGTTCAAGCATGGGCTCTAGTACTTTCTGGTTGTGTCACCGTGACCAAGTTATTTCATCTTAAGGAGCCTCAGTTTCCTCATCCATAAAATGGGAACAATGATAATACCTACTGGATAGGTGATATAAGGATTAAAGGGTTTCAAGCAAAATGGCAGATATAAAGCTTGAGGCCTGAACTCAACCAGTATCTGCTGGTACTGATCACATATTCTACAGTATTATATATGTCCCATAGTAAGGGGTGTCTGGGAAATAACAAAGAGAACTGAATTTGAATCTCCTCAACAGTTGCCAGGTAAAATACAGGATGCCCAGTTAAATTTTTAGTATAAGTCTGAAATTTTACATGGGATATACTTTCACTATTTTTTTTACATTGTTTACTCAGAACCCAAATATAATTGGATGTCCTTTATTTTATTTTGCTGCATCTTGCAATCCTAACTCCATAATTACCAGCTGTATGTCCTAAAGTAAATGACTTAGCCTCTCTGGCCTTGGTTGCCCAATCGGTAAAATAGGACTAAAGATTTCTTCTAATGTTGACAAGAGAATGAAACTGATTAAAGTGGGTGGGTGTTCCCAGCAGCACATGTTAAGCCCTCCACATTTGTTCCGTACACTTCCTGTCAATCATCTCCCTCCCTCCTCTTCGGTTCTTCCTCTTTATCCCTACCTGTCTTGAGGTTGCCAGGGCTCTGCACAAGCATTGTTTAGCCCTCTTGCTGGCCTTCAAAACTAGCAGATTATAATTAGCCATAAAAAAATAAGCAGTAAAGTTAGGATTTTCATCTAAAACACACACACAATCAATTTTGCTAAGAAGGGATGAAGTCTGTTTTTTCTAGTCCTAACCATTGAGCACACTCTAATTTTTGCTAAGGGCTTGTGCTCCACCCCTATGTATCCCTGACATGATTTGTGTTTCAGGTTTCTGAGAGAAGCCTCATCCTCTCTCATTGCCTTTTATTTCAGCTCAGAATTTTATTGTTTCTGGCTGAAGTCTGTTGCAGGACTCACGGAGGAGGGAGAAGAAACAAAGCGATCTTTGAAATAAATTATAAAGAGCAAAACAGGGTGATGTAAGAGAGTTTCCGAGCAGTAAGATCCGCCGACACCTCCGAACTATGTTCATAAAACGAGTCACTACCCCATACATCACTGTCATTTGAACCACAGTGTCTAAAAATAGGATTTGCTCTAATTTCCTCAGTAGCTGGAGCAAGTGGAGAGAATGTGCGAGTAGTGAGTGGGCTGTGTCAGGCGGTAAGTAACTTCCCTTAGATGGTATTGCTCTATTGTGGAAAGAAGGGGACTTGCCTTCAGAAATGTCAGGCATATCCTGACAGAGCTCAAAGGGTTGAGATGAAGGAATCTGGAGTCAGCCAGACCTGGAATGGAGCCCCAGCTCTGCCATCTCCTAGCTGGGTGACGTTGGGTAAGTTAATTAACCTCTCTGGGCCTTATCTTCTACAAAATTGAAAGAATAGTATTTCTAACTTTATAAGCATTTTGTGCAGATTAAGTGATAGGCTCATACAGACAGTTTACCATAGTGTCGACCATACATGTATTATGCACACAAGCCATGACCTGTTATTATAATGATTCCAGATGGACAGTATATATCCAAGGCAAAGTGTGGATGTCATTTATTCAGGGCGCTGGAGAGAATTCTAGCCCTGGAATTCAAGTGTGTGTAGTTGTCACAGATTTTTTTTTCAGGCAAAAAACAACTAACTCACATTACTATTAATATGTGAAAGGGAGAATGAGGTTGGGAAGAGGGAGTTGCAAGGGGTCACTGTGACTTTGTCCTGGGGCAGATATACACTGAAAGAGGTCTTTGAATTCAAGGAGCTTGGGTGCAGTGTCCAAGATAGGCTGGTCATAACCTCCACAGCCCTGTGTTTCTCCATCATCCATGGCATCTCTTTGCTCCCTGGCCACTCCATTTAGAGCCCTACTGTGAGCTCCCAGCATCCCCCCAGCCCATCTGACAGAGGTTGATGCTTGGTCTCCCAAGCACTCCTGGAGATCAAGAGCTGTGTCTTGTAACCACTTCTCTGTTCCTAGCACCCGACACAGGGCTTGGCACATAGTAGGTGCTCAGAAAAAAGTTGATGAATGAAGAAAACTGTCCAATATTATCATAGATATATAGAAATTAGAAGAAAACCTGGTATCTTAGTCTGTTTGGGCTGCTATAACAAAATATGGTAAACTGGATGGCTTATAAAAAATAGAAGTTTATTTCTCATAGTTCTGGAGGCTGAGAAGTCCAAGGTCATGGCACTAGCAGATTTGGTGTCTGCTAAGGGGCTGCTTTTTGCTGGTTTATAGATGGTACCTTCTCACCGTGCCCTCACATGGTAGAAATGGCTAGCTAGCTCTTTGGAGACTCCTTTATATGGGCACTCATCTCAATCATGAGGGTTCCACCCTCCTACTCTAATCACCCCCCAAAGGCCCCAGCTCCTAACACCATCACCTTGGAGGCTTGGTTCAACATATGCATTTTGGAAGGACACACATATTCAGACCAGAGGCCCTGGTATGATCAAGAGAGTTCATCCATCAGAATTTCAGTATACAAATGTAGAAGAATATATATTGCAGCACTTTTTAATGGTGGAAAACTGGAAGGAATCTAAATGCTTATCAACAAGAGAATGGATGGATCAATTCCAGTATATTCTTAAAGGAGAGTACCATGCAGCAGTGAAAATTAATGAGCTAGAACTCTATGTATCATCACAGATAAATCTAAAATACTATAGTGTTGAGTGGGGGAAAAAAGCGAGTTGCCACAGGACACATATAGAATTTTACTATTTACTAACATGCAAAAACCTGAAAAGCAATTCAGTATATTTTTATGCATATATATATGTATATATATATATATATATATAGTAAAATCATAAAAACATGATGGAATGATGAACACCAAATTCAGGAGAGAGGTTACCACAGCTGGGAAGAAAGTGGTTTGGGAGGGTTTGCAAAGAGATTTAAGTGTGTTTTTCATGTTCTGTTTCATAGAAGCTTGTTCTGTTATTTTTTGCACGTTTTTCTATGCCTGAAATATTTAATTAAAGAAAGAAGAATGGGGCCACTGCTAACAGTCAATGCCAGAGTGGAACTGGCCTCATTTCTACCCCATTCTGAAGTTTGTTTGTTGGCTGTGTGCCTTGAGCAAGGGATTTAACCTCTCTGAGCTTCAGTTTCCTAAACATTACGATTCTTCCAAGGTGATTTCCTTGACGAATTAAATGAGATAATCTGTAGAAATTGTTTAAAGCAATATAAACACTCAACAGATAACTGTTGTCATAATTATGAATCGTCAACAGCAAATCAGTCTCAAATCATTTGAGGGCTGGAAACATCTCAGAAGATCATCCATTGCTAACCTTTCTTTGCAGGTGAAATCGCTGAGACTAACAAGATTAAGTTGCCCGAGGTCATATGAAATTCTCCATGTGCATGGAGGGTCCTCCTGGGTGAGGTACTGTATGGGACTTCCACTTTAATGCACTTCCTACAAAATCTCCAGAAACCTTTACCTTGTTCCAGGGGATCAATGACAGTCAGATGGCAGACCTGGGAAAGCTAGGACACAGATCCCAGAGGCAGGGGGACAAGCGCAGCTTCAGGAGTCCTAACATGGTTTCACCCCTTCTCTCAATCCAAAACGTATTTATATTATTTTGAAAGAGATTAAGAATGATAATCCTATAAGGCCATCCTTTTCTAATCAAACTTTTAAATAACAAAAAATTTGACTCAGTTTGGGCAACAAAGTGAGACCCTGTCTCTATAAAAAAAAAAAAAATACAAAAATTAGCTGGGCATAGTGGTGCGTGCCTGTGGTCCCAGGACTCAGAAGGCTGAGGTAAGATCACTTAAGCCTAGGAGGTTGAGGCTGCAGCGAGCCAAGGTCATGCCACTGCACTCCAGCTTAGGCAACACAGCCAGACCCTATCTCTAAAAAGATTTTTAAAATTTGATACTTAACACAAATGGGCAGATATTTTTACAAAAATACACATCCTAGAATGGACTATTTATAATACCCCCAAACTGGAGCCAAATATCCATCAGTGGAAGAATGGGTAAATAGTGCTGAATTCATTCATGCTCGATCTGTTCAGTCCTCTGCAAAGCAGGCATCAAGGTGGAATTAGAAGTGCAGAAGGTGTACTGGAGGAAACTTCCATCGGAATATAGTATTCCATGGAATACTATACAGCAGTACAAATGAATGAAGCATGGCTACCATACAATCATATGGATGAATGTCACAAACTGAATGTTAAATGAAGGAAGCCAGACCTGGGGGAGCACACATGGTCTGCTGCCATTTATGTAAGTTCAGAAATTGCAAAACTAACCAAGCTGCTAGAAGAGTGGTTACACTTGGGTGGGAGGTTGTTACTGGAAGGGGGCTAGTGGGGCAGGGATGATTCCCGGGGCTGAAATATTAATCTGGGTGCTGGTTACATGAACGTGTTCTTTGTAAAAATGCATCAAGCTGTACCCTTATTTGTACGCTTGTGTACATACGTTAGACTTCAGTTAAAAGTGTTTTTTAAATGCAAAAATTTGCAAATTTCAGTATTTTAACCTTTATCAGTTACTGATGCCTAAGCACCATCCTGGATGGAGCCACATAATAAGGGGGGTAAATGTAGGACTCTAAATTAGCGTCTCCTCTTAAGCCTTGACCTTGAACATACCAGCCAGAGCCAGCTTTCATTTCAGGCTTTCTGAAAAGAAGATTGTCAACGTAGAACCAGGCCAGGTGGAGACCAGGGCCATTACTCAGGACATGTGATCCAGAGAGACAGGCAAACCACCAAAATTATCTGATTTGGCAGATTCTCGGGCTCAAATGACCCAGATAATGGTCAAACTGCCATAGTGACACCACATATTGCAGCAAAAATATCTGTGAGGTGGACCCTTTCACTGGGGCCATATTTGTGGGCAGAGAGAACAGATGCCTCCCTCGGGTGTGGCTTCTGCAAGAAGAGCCGTGGGAGCTCTTTGAGAGACTGCAGAGGCCACGGAAAGGTAAGGCAGCCTGGGATGCCCGAGGGGCTCCTGGTAGGCCCCCACCTCCTGCCATCCTGCCGTGTGGTTCCTCCCACACGCTTGCCAGAATACACATGGCTCTGAGCCATTGAGCAGGAATTATTTTATTTAATCCTTATTTAATCCAACAGCCTAGGAGAGAGGTAATAGCATTATTGTTTTTTACTATTTTGTAAGGGAGGAAACTGAGGCTCCAATGGGTCACCCAAGTGTGAACACCAGAAAGGAGTGAAATCATTTATTAAATTATTTATTTGTGAACTGATTCTGTCCTCAGCCACACCCTCTCCTACCCTTCCTTCCCCCAGAAGCACTGCTCCCCATGACTTGCCCCAGCTACTGAGGCATCAGGCCTTGGTGTGAACCTCACTTCTGCAGGACACTCAATCCACTCAGTCCTCTGCAAAGCAGGTACCAACGTGGAATTAGGAGCACAAAAGATTTACTGGAGGAAACTTTCATTGGAGGTGGAGGCTAGAGAGAGAGGGAGGTTAGAGAGAGAGCAGACAGTGCCTTCAGACTGTGATGCAGGTCTGACCCCTGGGAAGGGAGAGGAGGAAGGAAGGAAGGCTATGCAGAAAGAGCCTCGGACTGCAGCACAGCCCTGAGAAAGTCTCAGCCAGCCTAGCAAAAGCCTGGAGAAGACTGCTCTTTGGTGGGTTTGGATTCTCAGGTTAGGCATGGATGGCCCTGCCTGCTTGTCTTCAGTAGACCATGAGTTCACTCCAAATGTTCTACAGAAGGCGAATATGAGCATTAGTTTATTCAGTGAATTGGTTATGGAGTGGGGAGCAGAGTATCTCTTAAGAGCATCCATGTTAATTATTTATTGCATGGCTGTCTTCCCCTCTGGACTATAAACTCCACAAGGGCAGAAATCATCCTGTTCAGAGAGCAAGCCTGGCAGAGTAGATGCTCCATGAATATCTGTGGACTTACAGACTCTTCTGACCAGTTCCTCTGTGTCTGTTGGTTGCCACGTACTTCCTGAAGATGTTCCATGTGGTGTATTTTCATGGTACAGGTGAGGGATTAGATGTTGGATCTGGGTTCAAGTCTTAGACCCAGCTCTTCCTATGTGACCTTAGGCAGGCCATCTCACTTCTCTGAGCTTCAGTTTACTCATCTGTAGAATGGGGACAAGAATCTCTACCTGTGGAGTTGTTTTGAAGGTCAAATGCTATAACAGTATTTTTGTCATTACTATTAAAAT
Source organism: Homo sapiens (assembly GCF_000001405.40). Classification (NCBI taxonomy): domain Eukaryota; kingdom Metazoa; phylum Chordata; class Mammalia; order Primates; family Hominidae; genus Homo; species Homo sapiens. Next base: position 108,122,170 of record NC_000012.12, on the reverse strand, counting down.
GAACAGACTTATCATATGTAGATGGTTACTTTCAGTATTTCTATGATTCCATAAACTGTAGGGCCATAGTCTCCAAGACATGAATATTATCTTGAAGTATATTTTTACTTCCATGGACAACTCATATTCAGCACACATTGGCACATCTCTTGTTGAAAGAAACAGTACTGAGCAGAGATTATCTTTTATCATCATTTGTTATCTGTTCAGTTAGCTGTACCACAAGCTTGCCCCTGAATGCAGGATCCATATCTAATTTGTCTGTGTATCACTAGCACTTAGCAATGGCCTTACACACTGTAAGGACTCAATACATGCAGGTTCCTGACCCCCACCTGGAGCCACAGCCACATGCCACGTGCATTTGTTGATTTAATCCTTGCAACAGACCCCCATGGCCAGTATTGTTTCCATCTTGCAAATTGAAAAACTGAGGCCCATGAGATGAAGTGACTTTCCCAAACTCACAGAACGTGCAGGTTTCAGGCCTAGGTTATTCTGGCTCCACCCTGGGGATTTTCCACTGGGACACATGGCTGTCACGGCTGGCAAATGGGTCAATCCCAGTTGCAGTCTAAAATGTAGCACGATGCCCTCATTCTCTCAGGGGACTCCAGCCTGGCCTCCAGAGAAAGGATCTTGGAAAGCAGCCTCTTCTGGCACGTTCCAGTTTAGACACACAAGCCTCCTGGGATCTCTGAGAGCCATGGGCTCACGGGCTGGATGGATGATTTTTACCTTGCAGTTTGCAGGAGTCAGCCTGACCTGGTTACAGAACTGCTCCAAGAAGCTTCCGTCTTTTGAATGTCACTTTTCCCCCAGGACTTCACAGTTCAAACCTTTTCCATGTGAATACACTTACGAGCCACAGCCCGTTAATAACAACAGCAACATTTACTGAGCTCCTATTCTGTGTAGGTCCAGGGTCCACTGATCCGGAGCCCTCACATCCATTTTGGCCTTGCAATCTCACTACTGCCGTGAAAGGCAGGTATTCCCCAAATGGGAAGACGGAGGCTCAGGGAAAAGTTAGATCACCTGCCCAGTGTCACAGTGCTGGGAACTGGTGCAGCTAAGATCCGGACCTCACCCAGCCAGGGTCTGAGCAAAGAGACAGGGAGTCAACACTCAGGCAGCCAGAATGGAGCTTGCTGTTCCACCGCCCACCTCTGAAGCAGGAGCTCTTTAAAGACATATGGGGACATCGTTGTCCTTGGCACCCTGCCTCCTCTCACCATCTTGTCCATCCCCCAAACCCAGCCGCAACAATCTTTTAGGACAGACACAGCTCTGGCTATACCCCGCTCCTGCTTAAGACCTCTAAGCGGCTTCCCAGCACACACAGCTAAAAGCCCAAACTCCTCCACTCAGTGCTAAGGCCTTTTGACGTCTGGCCTCAGATCCACTTCCTGCTGCATTTCCACAGCTCCCCTCCACCCTCCAGGGCGGATTCTCCATGCCTCCTCCCATGCTCTACTCCTTTACTGCCTTGCCTTTGAGTGGTTTTCTCTCCTTGGACTGCTCTTTCCTCCCTTCCATTTTTCCATCCAACAAACTCCTGCTCAGCCTTGTGTTTCACATGTTGCCTTCCTTTGGGATGTCTTAGTTTCTAGAACCCTCACTAATATAGCAGGGCCAGGGAGTACAGACGGAAACTGGTGTGGCCAGTTGAATCTTACTACCCTCATTATACCTTTTGACATGATCAAAGAAGGCAGTTTTGTATCCATGGTCTAGCGCAAAGAAATACATCACAACTACCTTGTATCCATGGTCTAGTGCAAAGAAATACATCACAGCAACCATTTTCTTGAGCTCAAAACCCCTCCTCTCCTCTCGTGCATTTGTTGTTTCATTTGCCCAGCAGAGCATACCTCATCTTTGTAGGAACTGCTGCTCCGAACTACAACACATGTGTCTGGAGGAAGTCATCCCTGAATGTAGATGTAGATGGGATGCCATTGAGCCTGGCTGGGCCAGTCTTAGAACTCCATTGCCCTGGCCACAGTGATTGGTCCAGCAATTGGCACATGATGACTCAAGCCCGGCCAATCAGAAACCTTCCCTGATAATTGTTCTGCTTGGTCTTGGTGGGTGTTTTGAGAGCCCCCAGCTCAACTAGGGTTCCAGTAGCAGACTGGCTAGTGGCCCTGCTCTCATGGGAAACAAAGGGGAGCTGGACATGGGTGTCTACACAGTGCCTTTCATGAGATACTTATTTTACCTGGCAGATGACCTAATGCCTAGTTGTCTGACCTGCGACCAGGAGATCTCTCACCTGGGAAACTTGTTTATATTGGCAGACACCCTGTCGCTCTCATCTGACCCGTAGCCAGTTTATCCTTGTCTGACCATTGCATTGGCACTGGGATCCTGCCCTTCTGTTTTACCTGGTGTCCCTGGGGCAAACCCAGCCTGGGGCAAACCCAGCCTGGGGCAGCCCCTAGTTCTTCAGATGCAAGATGCAAATTCAATACACCATCACAAGAGGAAATAAGTTCAAAATTTTCTACTAGAAGATTCAAGGCAAGGAGGGCATAATGAGTTGGGAGGACAGTCTTCTGTCCCCAGGTCATGCAAGGCAGAAATGAAGAGTCAGGCAGAGAGAGAGAGAGAGAGAGAGAGAAGGACATGGTGTGCAGTACATATAAGGGAACAGGGTGTGGGTCACTTTCAGTTTGCAAGGAAATGTCTGAATGGCCCCTTTAAATGATTCAACAGGAAAGTGGGGAGCCCAGTTGCTAGGCAGGACAGAGGCCTCGAGTTCTTATCTTCAGCCACTGGCTCTAGCAATTTGGGTGTGGTGTAGAACTGAAACTATGTCAGGAGTCAGCGAGCCCTGCTTCTGGTTTGAGAAAATTAAACTTGTGTTCCAAGCAGATGCTAAGGCAACATAAATTTGTCAGAATTCACTACAATGGAAAACAGCTCTATTTGATGTGGTCATGAGGCTCTGAGTTGGGAGGTGCAGAGCTACCTGTGATGTTGGTTTGAGCCCAGTGGGGACAACTGTCCTGAAAGAATGAATGCAGACAAACCGCGAGAGAAAGAATATGTTGATGAATTAGTTCCTGGATCTAACCTTCCCACCCCAAGACCAGCTACACCCCAGATCTTTCTGCAATTTGGGTCAAAAGAGCCAATTGGTAGGCCTTTGGTAGGTTCAAGTTTAAGATGGGTTTTGGTGACTTACAATCATAGGGTTCTGACATGTGAATGGTTTAAAACTCCTTCTCCAGTTTTATTATGCCATAATGTCATCAATAAATATTTACTAAGAAACTGATGTGGACCAGGCACTCAGCTAAGTAATGGGACACAACAGTGAGCTAAAGATATGGTCCCTCCCATACAGAGCTGACAGGCTGGAACTGCACAGTCCAATGCAGTAGCCACTAGCCACTGTGGCTATTTAAATTTAAAATAATTAAATTAAGTTAAATTAAAAATTCAGAGCAAGAAAACAAATAACCTGATTGAAAAACAGGCAATGCATCTGAATAGACATTGCTCAAAAGAAGAAACACAAATGGTCATCAGGTATGGAAAATGTGCCCAACATCACTAATCATCAGGGAAATGCAAATCAAAATCCCAATGAGCTATCACCTCATACCTGTTAGGATGATTATGATCAAAAAGATGAGAGATAACACGGGTTGGGAAGGGTGTGGAGAAAGGGAACCCTTGTCCATTGTTGGTGGGAATGTAAACTGGTACAGCCATTATGGAAAACAGTATGGAGATTCATAAAAAAATTAACAATAGAACTCACATATGATCCAGCAATCCCACTTCTGGATATAAATCCAAAGAAAATTAAGTCAGTATATTTTAGAGACATCTGCACTCTTATGCTCATCTGCACTCTCATGCTCATTGCAGCACTATTCACAATAGCCAACATATGAAATCAACCTAAATGTCCACTGATAGATGAATGGGTAAAGAAAATGTGGCACACACACATACACACTGAAATATTATTCAGCTTGTAAAAAGATGGAAATCCTGTTGTTTGTAATAACACAGATGAACCTAGAGGACATTATGCTAAGTGAAACAACCCAGACACAGAAAGACAAATACTGCACAATCACACTTGGTAGAATCTAAAAAAGGTCAAACTCATAGAAGCAGAGAGTAGAAAGGTGATTGCCAGAGGCTGAAGAGTGGGAGGGGAAATGGGGGGATGTTGGTCAAAAGGCAGAAAGTTTCAGTTATGCAGGATGAATAACTTCTGGAGATCTAATATATAACATGATGACTATTGTTAATAATACTCTATAGTACACTTGAAATTTGCCAAAAGAGTAGATCTTAAATGTTCTTATTGTAACTTCACAAGACTAATCTGGTTCAACTTTTATGTAAGAAAGTTGTGAGTTTTCAGTTGCCATGGACTCCCAGTTTGAAGGTTACGTAACCTGAGCATGCCCAGATGAACCAAGCATGCAACCAGGGGTAGAACCTAAGTGCTTGGTTGGAGGAGGGGATACTGAATTAAGAAATGGACACCATATGGCAGGGTCCGGGGTCCAATCAGATTGAGCCCTGGCCTCACCCCACGGTATGGTCCAGTCAGAGCACGCCTCCTGGTATCACCTCATGGCAAGATCCAATCAGATCACACCTCATTACCCTCTGACTATAAAGCCTGCCCCAACTCCCAGCTTGTGGAGACAAGTTTTGAGTGTTTCCTCCTGTCTCCTTGCCAGTCAATTCACAGTAAACCTTTATCACTGCAAAAACCCGGTGTTTCAGTGTGTGACTTGGCATTACATGTCGGCAAATGGACCCAGTTTGGTTCCATAACATCACCACAAAAAATTAAAAATAATAAAGATGTGAGGTGATGGATATGTTAATTAGCTTGATTGTGGTTATCTCTTCACAATGTCTACATGTATGTGTATCAAAACATCATGTTATACACCTTAAATATATACAATTTTTATTTGCCAATTATACCTCAATAAAGCTGGGGAAAAAAGAACACATCAGTTAAAAAAAATCTGAGTGCCTTTTCTTCGTCCTCTTCTGGTACTTAACCTGCTTTTTCAAGGAGGAAATTTAGTTCATTGCTGAGAGCTACTTGATAGTTGATGTTGAAGTCCTTATAGAACCCTAGAATATATATGTGTATATATGTGTGTGTACATATGTATATGAAAATATAAATATGCATACACACAAACATACACATATACATTTCAAACACACACACATATTTCAAAGGTTTGGTAAGCCTTCCGATGCCAATTTCTAAGCATGAGATTCCAGAAATAGAATGTCATCATAACACAGATGTTACATACTCTGGAAACTTCCTGCAAGAAGTTTGTCCTTTTAAGCATTTAAAAATAAAGAATTTCTCCAAATAAATTCAGTTATTTACTCTCACCACATTTCAATTACTCAGTAGGAACATGTGGCTAGTGGCTACCACACTGAATAGCACAAATATAGAACACTGCCATCAGAGCAAATCAGTCTATCAGACAGCCTGGTCTAGAGCTTCACTAGCCAAAGTGTTATCCTAAGACTAGCAGCACCGGCTTCACCTGGGAGCTTGTTGGAAATAGAGAATCTCAAGCTCCAACCCAGACCTATAGAGCCAGAATCTGCATTTCAATAAGATTCCCAGTGATTCATGTGTACATCAAAGTTTGAGAGACCCTGTCCTGTCAGCCACTCCTAGTTTAACCCCGTCTTCCTGACTGTCACAACCCAACTTCCTGTGTCCAGGATTGATGGTTCCAACCTCAAGAGAGACATACAGGCGTGTATGGCCATCAGCTTACTGACCTCTCCCCCAGCCACAAAATCAACTCCAAAGGTGTTTATCCACGAGCAAAGGTTTCAAGGAACAACCCCAATGTTCACCCTAATAAATACCCTCTCAAGGCATTGGCCAAGTCAGAATATAGGATTGGCATTAATAAGACCACCAGACTAGGTTGAGGTTTGGTGGCAATCCCACCCCAGGATTTTTCAATGATTCATTTTTTTCAGGGTAAAATAACTGCAGACTGCTGAAGGGAGTAAAGTGTTTGTGTTGTGTTATATTTTTATTTTTGCAGAAAGAGGAAGAAGACTTTCACTGTGTAGCAGAAGGGTCCTCCTTGCTTTCATGCTGTAAAGGATTTGCCCACTCCTGTGTGGGTTTCCAGGCTGCCAACCAACTCAGCCTGACTGAGAAGCCCAGTGTACTCTGAAAAACCTTTATACACACACACACACACACACACACACACACACGCACACACGCTTGAACTAATTGGTGGCACCCAACCATAACCAAGAAAAAAGGCAACAAACTACCGACATTTAAATTGCAGATTGTGACCTTTATGCTTGAAATCGTTTCAAACATCCTGTTTATAGCTTTGGGGTTCTGGCACTCAATAATCCTACAAATCATTTTCCTCTGTTTTTTTAATGGTTATTATTATGCATTACATTTCCCCAATTTCTGGGCCTCACCCCCAGTTGGTTTCTCCAGAGAGACTAGGTAATTTGAAAATGCCTGCAGCATGACTTTTTTGCTTTAATGTTGCCAGTTTATTCTACTTAGCTGAACCAGATGCAGAAGCTGGTGAACAATGCTTGGCCCTGCCCACTCATGACAGAGGGAGGGAAGTGAAAAAGAGGGAGGGGCTGTGGAGGTGGGAGAGAAAAAGGCTTTTTCTCCAAGCTGTAAAACTTCTCTGACCCAAAGGTCTTTAATGCGTGGGTCTAGGTTAGCATTCCCTGAAGTGTTGGTAAATTACAGGGGAATATATTGGTAGGTGTTACAAGGTAACTGTAGGTTAAACAGAAGTGAAAGGATTCCTTAATGCAGGACTTCTCAGGACCTTTAAATGCTAAAGTATATGGAGAAGTCTCTTTGGTATGAAGTGGGGAGGCAGGTCTACTGTGTCATTTCGCAAGTTTATTGAATTAAGGTGCACCTATTTCTCTGAGTGATCTCACAAAACACGGCTCACAGCCCACTTGGGAGGCACTGCTTGTTCTGGATACAATGGTACAATTGCAGACAGGTGGGCTGGCTTCCCTCCCTCCCTCCCTCCCTCCCTCCCTCCCTTCCTTCCTTCCTTCCTTCCTTCCTTCCTTCCTCTTTCTCTTTCTTCCTTCCTCTCTCTCTCTCTTTCTTTCTCCCTTTCTTTTCTTCGACAGAGTCTTACTATGTTGTCCAGGCTGGAATGCAGCGGCTATTCACAGGTGCAATCATAGCTCACTGCAACCTTGAACTTCTGAGTTCAAGTGATCCTTCTGCCTCAGCCTCACAAGTCTCAAGTCTGGGACTGCAGGTGCACATCACCACACCCAACTTGCAGCAAGGTATCTATGACCCAGCCTTAGGTGCTCCAGGATGTCACTTCTGCCACATTCTATAGGTCAAGCAAGTTACTAAGGTCTGCCCAGATTCACAGGAGGTGAAATAGCCTCTGTTTCTCAATAGAATGTACATCATTTTCAATCCACCACGCTGCCCCGGGCTTCCCAAACAGTATGTTAAAGACTCAAAATCAGAAAGACAGGAACATGAGCCCTGCTTCCTGGCACTCTAAACATTTCCATTTTAAACACCAACTCACACCCCTCCAACTATACCCACAGATCTAGGAGTTGGAGTTGGATATAGTTGTTTCTGCTTTCCAACATTTCTCTCCACTTTCTTCTGGAAAAAAACCCCCCTTTCCTGAGGGGACCCACAGGTACTTAGAACTAGCCTGTTGAGAGTAACAGCACACACTTGATTTCTCTCTGAGAGCTCATGCCTGAAGCACAATAAATGTCTGATGATTGAGTGAGTGGATCAAGGAATAATTCCAGCAGAAATAAACAGTCATGTGTATTGTGGGCCAGGCACTGTGCTATGTAGTTTATATTCACTTACTCATTTAATCCTTTTTACAAATTTATGAAGTGGCTACTAGGTTTATTGCCGTTTGACAGATGAGGAACCTGAGTCATTTGCCACATGGGTAACAAGTAGTAAGTCAGAGATTCCAGGCCAGATCCATCTGACTTTGCATCTGATGTTCTGAAAAGCCCTATAACTGGACAGAGGGAAAGAAAAGCAGTCAGTACCCACTGTGGTCCCTATTTTCTAAGTACTTCTGTATGCAAGATTCATAGGTTACTATTTATTGTTTTCTCTATGCCAGGCTTTGTTCTAAGAACTGTGTTTGCTCACTCAACCCTCACAGCAATGTCATCACGTAGGGATTATGATAATTGAGGAAATTGAGGCACAGCAATGTGAATTGACCTACTCAGTGCCACGTGGCTTCTTGTTAGAGGCAGAGCCAGGATTTGAACTCAGGACTCTGGCCCCAGGAGTCATGCTGTCCTCCATTTGGCCACTCTAAGGCACATCCTTTGTTTACTTCCCAGATGGCAACAGAAGTTAGAACCAAAAGACCAAATCTCGATTGCATTCAGCTCTGTTAGAACCTTCCAAACTCAGAGCTTCAGCACAGCTGAGACAGTGTCCTGCCTCCTGCCTGGGTTTTGAAGACATGTACCTTTTCAGCTTCTGTCACCCTCCCTGGGCCAGTCCTGGCATGAATCAAAGCATTCGAGCAGAAGGAAAACTACAGCTGGGTCAGGAGCCCAGCCTTGGGGGTCCTGCTTGCCTGGTCTGGCAGTCTGAACAGCCCCCGTTACTTCTGACCACCCCTCTGACAGCAGGATAGAGAAACTCTCTTTAAGGGGCTCTGAAGGCCCACCCTGCATTCCCCACATTCCCCACTGCCTCAGGGTGGAAAGAATTTCCAACCAAACTTGGCAAGGCAGGAAAGACTGTGGCCTGGCTGCCCCTGCTGGAAGTTGCAATACCGGCCTAGCCCTTCTGCCTCCCCTTGCTCACTGCTAAGAATAACCAGGCTACCTCCACACCCACCACTGGGGCTGCAGCCTTTTCTGAGATCTCCCTTTGCTCGGTTTAAACCCTCCATGGTAGAAGAGAAATTAGACTGCGAGCCCCAAGAGCGGGAGCTCGAATCTAATTTGTGTGTTGCAGAGAACACTGTCTTGCTGTGTTGGGGGAACCACCTATGTCTAGGGCATTTCTGGAGATCGGAGCTGCTTTCTATTAGGACTGCGTTCGTTTGCAGGGAGCTGGCCCTTACACCCTCTGGGGCAGATGCTGTCAGTGCCTGGCCTATATTCCCGCCCAGTGCGGCAGCTTCATAGTGCAAGCCTGGGTCTCTTTCCTGAAGATTTCCCTGAGCCAGGCCATCAAGAAGTGCTAGGGAGTGGATCCTGCAGGAAGATCCTTAAAACAAGGACAATGGGAATTTGTGAATAAACACCCCAGGTCCTTGTCCCTGGGGTGGGATAACTCCGAGCATTTGAGCAAGTCTTATGCTGCCTCCCACAGTCACACCACTCACTTGCTCATCAACATACCTGTGTTGACTTTCTTCTCTTCCCTGTTTCACTTCCCTTCCTCCCTACTGACGTTTCTAAGGATTTGCTCCTTGCCTCAGTGTCTGCTTCTTCTAGAGACGCTCAAACTGAAACACTTTCTGAGGCTCCTGATTGGGAAGAGTGGGGAAGCCTCTCACCTTGAGGGGCCAGGCTCTTCTTTGTCAGGGCTCATGAAGGTGACGGGTGGAGTAGGCAAGCAGACCTGTGACCAGCCCCGAAATCTTCAGCCTGTGGCCTTGCGATCCCTGGCGTGGGTTTCTATCCACTGCAGCTACTTTCCTTCCTGCTTATGTTTAGCTCCAGAGACTTTGGAAATCATTTGCAGTCCAGGAGCCTGGGCCAAGCAGAAGTCCATGTGCTGAAATCTATGCTGGGTGCGACTGTGTGTCAGACACTGTGCAGGGCTCTGGGGACCTGGTGATGAGGGTGCAGGGAGCATTTATCAGAGGGAGTCAGTCCAGCAGGGGTCCAAGAGGTCTTCCTGATGGAGAATTTTTTTTTGAGACACTCTCATTCTGTCCCCCAAGCTGGAGTGCAGTGGCATGATCTAGGCTCACTGCAACCTCTGCCTCTCAGGTTCAAGCGATTCTCCTTCCTCATCCTCCCGAGTAACTGAGACTACAGGTGTGTGCCACCACATCCAGCTAATTTTTGTATTTTTTGTAGAGACAGGGGTTTCACCATGTTGGCTAGGCTGGTCTCAAACTCCTGACCTCAAGTGATCTACCCACCTTGGCCTCCCAAAGTACTGGGATTACAGATGTGAGCCACTGCACCTGGCCCTGGAGAAGGTGGAGAAGATTCTGATGTCTGCACTCCAGCACTAGAAATCCTGATTTGATAGATCTATTACAGGTGTGGCCTGGACATTGGCAGGGTTGAAATCTCCCCAGGTGATTCCAATTTGCAGTCAGGGTAGAGACCTACTGCTTTAAGGTCCTCTCAAAGCCTGGTTCTGCCTGCTCAGCTGGTGGGCTCAGGGGAGAAGGTGAGAGTTTTAATGGTAATGTCCAAGGCAGCAGTGTAACCCGGCTTCTGTTGTCTTACCCACCCTGGTTCATGGGGGTCAAGGAAGGCATGGCCCATAAGGGACCTGTGGTAGAGGAGTCAGGCCTCCTAGGGCCCTCGAGTATATACCCCAGATATCCAACCAGTCCACACTAGCTGTGCTCATGTGTAACCCTGAGAACTCATATTCCCTGAAAATGGAGTCTATGACCTAGTGAGGAAGCCCACGTTGCCCTGGAGGACAGCCCAGCTCTGAACACACACACACACACACACACACACACACACAAACACTAACACACACACTCTCAGCATGGGACCAGGCACACATTAGGTGCTCAATCCACTTATCGGCACTTACTGTGTCTCTGTGACTGTGCTGAGCAATTTGTATACATTCTATTTTCATCTCTTCTGACAACCATAATAGGGTGCTGATTCCACTGTCCCCATTTTAAGGCTGACGCAAGGAAGGCTAGGAGATGTTAAATAACTTGTCCAAGGTCACACAGCAGCAGAACTAAGATTTGAACCCAGATCTGATTCTGAAGTCCAGGAGTTGCAGAACCATTATGGAAACTCCTTCCCTATGAAATAGGCAGAAAGAACCTATAGTTGAATGTTTGAATGACCGAATGAACTAATGAGTGAGTGAATGAATGAGTGAAGGAGTGAGTGAATGAATGAGTTATTGGTTGGCTGCCAGATTTCATGTCCAGTGGCCCACTTCTCTTTCCCATGTGATTTTTGTGACTTATGCACCATCCTTGAGCTCAAGACAATCTCATTGGTAATGAACTTCCAGGTCTCATTCTCTGTGGATTCCTCAGTCTTTGTCCTTCTCCACTGACAAAGCTGTCCTGAGACAGGGTTACTATGCTGCCCAACTTCAGGCCACTATTCATATTAAAACTAGAAACAGGCCAGGCACGGTGGCTCATGTCTGTATTCCCAGCATTTTGGGAGGCCGAGGTGGGTGGATCACGAGGTCAGGAGTTCGAGACCAGCCTGACTAACATGATGAAACTCTGTCTCTACTAAAAATACAAAAATTAGCCGGGCTTGGTGGTGCGTGCCTGTAATCCCAGCTACTTAGGAGGCTGAGGCAGGAGAATCACTTGAACCCAGGAGGCAGAGGTTGCAGTGAGCCCAGATAGCATCACTGCACTCCAGCCTGGGAGACAGAGTGAGAGTCCAAACCAAAAAAACAAACAAACAAACAAACAAAAAAGACTAGAAACAACACCTCCTATGGCACAAGCTCCAGAGAGTGGTGACACCTGGAGTTGTACAACGTGGTGGCCATGGTGGAAACATTTAAAGGGATATAAAATGATCTTATCTCACCATCCAGACCCACATCCTCCCCAAAGGAGGCGTCCTTCCCAGCCAAAGCTCGACTACCTCCTGCTCACCCTGTTTGCTTTTCAGCCATGACTTTCACTCTGACCTCTAATTAAAGTGAGTATATTGGGTCAATATTCCCAAAAGTGCAACAGAATTTCTGGGTTTCCCTGCATGTGGACATACAGCCTTTGGAGTCAGAAAGACATGGGTTCTAATCCCAGCTTCACCACTTTAGCAGCTGTGTGGCTTTGTGCAGGGAACGTTACCTCTCTGTGCTTCAGTTTCCCCATCTGCAACATGGGGATAATAATAGCACCTCACAGAGATGTGAGGATTTGAGGAATAAATTATATCAGTGCTTCTCAAATGGGGCTGATTTTGTTCCCAGGGAACACTGGACGATGTTTGGAGGCATTTTTGGTTGTCACAACTGGGGCAATGGTACCGACATCTGGTGGATAGAAGTCAGAGATGCTGCTCAGCATCCTGCAATGCACAAGACATCCATCCCTCTGCCCCAGCAACAAAGAATTATCTGGTACAAAATGGCAATAGTGCCTATATGATCCAGCAATTCCACTTATGGACAAATACCCAAAGGAATTAAAAGCAGAGCCTGGAAGAGATATTTGCATATGCATGTTAATAGCAGCATGAGTCACATTAGCCAAAAGGTGAAGCCATGCAAGTCTCCATGACAGATGAATGGACAAACAAAACGTGGTGTATTCATAGAATAGAATATTATTCAGCCTTAAAAACGAAGGAAATTCTGACACATGCTACAACATGGATGAGTCTTGAGGACGTCATGCCAAGTGAAATAAGTCAGTCTCAAAAAGACAAAGACTGTATGATTCCACTTATATGGGGTACCAAAAATAGTCAAATTTGTAGAAACAGAAAGCAGAATGATGGTTGTCAGGGGCTGGGGGGAAAAGGGAGTAAGGAGGTATTGTTTAATCGGTATAGAGTCTCATCTCTTTCATCCCAGATGAAAGGAGTTCTAAAGACAGATGGTGGTGATGGTTGCACATTACAAATGTACTTACTGCCACTGAGCTGTACACTTAAAAATGGCCAAAATGGTAAATTTTATGTGCTGTATCTTTACCACAACTTTAAAAATTGGAAAAAATATTCATAGTGCTGCTTTTGAGAAACCCTGACCTAAGTAAATCATATAGCACTCAAGTGGATAGAGAGTAGCTACCCTCAAAATGTTAGTTCCTTTCCACTTTCTTTCTCTTTTTAATTTTATTTTAATTTTATTGAGATAGAGTCTTGTTCCATCCCCCAGGGTGAAGTGCAGTGGCTCAATTTCAGCTCACTGCAACCTCTGCCTCCCAGGTTCAAGTGATTCTTCTGCCTCAGCCTCCCGAGTAGCAGGGATTACAGGCCTGCACCCACAAGCCCAGCTAATTTTGGTATTAAAAATGCAAAAATTAAAAATACTAAAAGTAGAGATGGGGGTTTTGCCATGTTGACCAGACTGGTCTCAAATGCCTGGACTCAAGCAATCTGCCCACCTCGGCCTCCCAAAGTGCTGGGATTACAGGTGTGAGCCACCACACCTGACCTATTTTCTTTTTTTATAATCACCCAGAATTTAACCTGTTACAGTTATCCTGGCTGATGTGTTGTAAGAAAAACATATTAATTTAAAAATGTGGGCTGGGTGCGGTGGCTCATGCCTGTAATCCCAGCACTTTGGGTGGCTGAGGCGGGTGGATCATGATATCACAAGATTGAGATCACCCTGGCCACACAGTGAAACCCCGTCTCTACTAAAAATACAAAAAAAAAAAAAAAATTAACCAGGCATGGTGGAACGTGCCTGTAATCCCAGCTACTTGGGAGGCTGAGGCAGGAGAATCGCTTGAACCCAGGAGGCGGAGGTTGCAGTGAGCTGAGATCGTGCCACTGCACTCCAACCTGGGCGACATAGCGAGACTCTGTCTCAAAAAAAAAAATGTGGGGTGATGAGAAACAGGTTCTAGGCCTATGCTTTCCAATAGAAATATGATAGGAGTCACAATACTTATTATTTTTATTTTAACAGCTTTATTGAGCTATCACTAACATATAAAATTTTTTATATATACATATATATTTAAAGTGCATACCTTGATTTTTTTCTCATTTAATTTTTTAAAGTTTAGATTCAGGAGGTACACGTGCAGGTTTGTGACATGGGTAGATTGTGTAATGTCGAGGTTTGTGTTTCTAAGGATCCTGTCACCCAGTGGTGAATATAGAACCCGGTAGGTCGTTTTTCAGCCCTTACCCCACACCCTCCCTCTCCTCTCTTGGAAACCCCAGTGTTTGCCGTTTCCATCCTTCTGTCCCTGTGTATCCAATATTTAGTTCCCACTTATAACTGAGAACACACACATGTAATTTTAAACTTTCCAGTAGCCACATTAAGAAAGAAAAATAAAACAGGTGAAATAATATTACAATATTTTAAATATTCTATTTAACCCAACATATCGAAGATATGATCATTTCAACAGGAAATAAATATAAAATATGAATGAGCTATTATATACCTTTTTTTGTACTAGGTCTGCAAAATCCCGTGTTTATGTGACCCTCACAGATCATCTCAGTTTGGACTTGCCACATGTTAAGTCCTCTGTAGCCACAACTGGCTCATGGCTGCTGTATGGAACAACACGGTGTTAGACGAAAACCTTTCCACTCACAGGTCAGATTGGTAATGGAAAAAAAAGACAAGGAGAAATAGGAAGAAAGGAAGGTAGGAAGGGAATCTTCCAGAGCATACCAGCAGGAAACAGAACTAACATCTCCAAAAAAGGGCTGGAGCCTTGTTGTCTGCCTCTCTGACCGTAGCTGCTGGAGACAGTGTTCGCACCCTGTCTCTCCAGGTCAAACTGGTTCCACAAGAGGTCAAAGACAAGCCCAGCCTGGGGAGCTTGTTCTCCACTTGCTGCCCACAGCGGGAACACACAGTCACTGGGGAGGACCACCATCCCCACCCCCATGAAATCAAAGATACTGTTTGCATAAGCCTCATCCAAGGCTGGCTCTTGCAATATTTTACATTTTTATTTTATTTTATTTGTTAGAGACAAGGTCTTGGTCTGTTGCCCAGTCTGGAGTGCAGTGGTGCCATCCCACTTTGCTACAGCTTCAAACACCTGGGCCCAAAGGATCCTCCTGCCTCAGCTTCTCAAGTAGCTGGGAGTACAGGTATGCAACTACCACATCCAGGTAATTAAATAAATTTATTTTGCAGAGATGGGGTCTCGCTATGTTGCCTGGATTGGTCTCAAACTCTTGGTCTCAAGCAATCCTTCCACCTTGGCCTCCCAAAGTGCTGGGATTACAGATGTAAGCCATGGTGCCCAGCCCTCCTGCAATATTTTAAATCACCTTTGGCTTAGAGAGGTTGAGTGCCTGCTTGTTTCATCAAGCAATTCCCTGGATGAGACAGAGCCCATTTCCATGGCTAATATGATGGAGCGTTTGGGGAATGCTGAATCCATTAGGGACCAAAGTGGTTTCCCATTGTCATTAGCTGAAATCTGATGACTGGACAGCTCAGGGCTCAGGGTAGAGGCCCCAGGATCAGTGGGTGGATTCCCAAAACAACTGCTAAGTCAGGGCAGTCCTGATAAGACCATCTGCAAAGTGCTTAAGGGCACAAGCAGTGGGACTGGGCTTCCTGGGTCCACATCCCAGCTCTGCTCCTTTGAGTCCCTCTTTTTTCTATTTTAAAAAAATTTTTAGTTAACATATAATAATTGTATATATATGGAGCACAAGGCTTACATTGTGGGATGATTAAATCAAACTGATTAACCTATTCATAATCCCATATACTTATCTTTTTTTTTTTTTTAATGGCAACATTTAAAATCAACTCTTTTAGGGCTGGGTATGGTGGCTCACACTTGTAATTGCAACACTTTGGGAAGCTGAGGGAGGAAGATCACTTGAAGCCAGGAGTTTGAGACCAGCCTGGGCAACATAGCAAGACCTCGTCACTGTAAAAAGTTAAAAAGTTAGCTGGTCGTGGTGGTGTGTGCCTGTAGTCCCAGCTATTTGGGAGGCTAAGGTGGGAGGATCGCTTGAGCCAAGAGTTCAAGGTTGTGGTAAGCTAGGATTATGTAACAGCACTCCAGCCCAGGTGGCAGAGAAAGACCCTGTCTCAAAAAATAAATAAATAAAATCTACTGCTTGAGTAATTTTGAAATATACATTATTATTAACTATAGCCACCATGCTGTACAATAAACCTCTAAAGCCTATTCCTTCAGTAAAACGGAAACTTTGCACCCTTTGAACATCTCCCCATCCCACCCCACCCCACCCAGCCTCTGGTAACCACCATCCTACTCTCTACGTCTATAAATTCTACTTTTTTAGATTCTACATAGAAGTGAGATCATGCAGTACTTATGTTTCTATGCCTGTGAGCCCCTTTATTCATTCATAAGGTGGATGTAAGAATTGTTATTCCATTTGCCTTGGACAATCTTTCCCCAGACATTGCTTGACTCTCACAGTCACATTTCCCTAGTCTTTGTTCAGATGCCACTTCCTCCGTGCAGCCTTTCAGCACTGCCTTGTTAGAAACTGCGACTCCACCCCAGCACTTGTCATTCCCTTTCCCTGCTCTATTTTATTTTTCATAACATTTACTACTAACCACACTACATTACAGTTTTATATATTTTATGTGTTGTCTCTCTCTCCCCAGTAAGAATATCAGCTCCAAGAGGGCAGAGGTTTTGCCCGTTTTGTTCACTGCTGTATTCCCAGAATGAAGCAGGTGCTCAAAAAACATTTGTGAAATAACGTATTAATTAAATAAGCACCTAACAGTACCTGGCACAGAGTAGGGCATTATTATTACACAGACATTGTTCACAAATCAGGCCAATGCCACATGGTTCCTACTTTACTAATTCATCTAAAAATATTTCTTGTGCATATACTATATGCCAAGGAGTGTGCTGGGCTCTGGTGACGCAGGAATGGACAAAAGGACTTATAGATCAGCAGAGGACTTCATAGTACCTCAGAGGTTATTGTGGTGATCGAATGAACGAATGTATGCAAAATACTCTGCACAATCAGGCACAGAGTGGTTGTATCAGTCGGCTTTTGTGATGATAAAGCTATGAGACAAACACCCCCAAAATCTCAGTGGTCCTCAGCAAATAGTTATTTCTTGCTTATGCCTGCAGGTTAGCTGTGGATCAGATTTGGGTCTGCTCCATGTGTCTTGTCATTTTGCAATCAAGGCTATAGGACTGGCTCCTAATTGTTTTGTAGAGACTGAGTCTCACTGTGTTGCCCAGGCTGGTCTCAAACTCCTGGCCTCAAGCAATCCTCTCACCTTGTCCTCAAATGTGCTGAGACTACAGGAGTGAGCCACTGCATCCGGCCCTCCTGCAATATGTAGCATGCTATTCTCTTAGGAGAAAGCAAGAATTGGCAGAAATTTGTCATGCCTAATAGAGGCTACTGCCTGGAAATGCCACATCATCACTTTTGCCCACATTCCAATGGCCAAATAAAGTCACATGGCTAAGCCCAACATCAGCAGAGTGAGGAAATATACTCTGCCCACTGACCAGGAAGGAGAGAGTGAATATTTGATGGGTAATAGTACAAAATACCATATGTTTAATAAACTTCTTTATAAGGGAGAAAAAAAAGTTTCTCCCACAAAATCCAATATGGGGGGCGGTTGACAGTTACACATTATCCCAAGGAGAGTAACCTCGATGGTGATAGAGTTGGAGGCTAGAAACCCGTTGGTATTTGTATGAAGAGGAGAGAGCACCAGTTTGCAGTCAAGGCAGACTCAGGATTCAAGCCTTGGCACTATGAATTGACAACTAAGCCTCTCAGCCTGTCCTTTCACCTCCCCAGGTGTCATCTATAAAATGAGCCTCCTACACGGGGTCGCCTAGAGAGGCAGGAGGTCTAATGTGTGGGCAGGTCATTTGTGAGCCATGAACACCCCACAGTTGTTGGGTATTATTCAGAGCCATTAATGGGTGTAATGCCCAGTGGCTCAGCTCAGTGGGCATTTTCTGAGCCTCGGACCACTCCTGGTGGAAATTTGCATAAGGTTCCGTTGAATGTGACAGCTCAATATTTATCTTATAGTTCCTTCTCCAGCATCTCCCATCCCTGATTCAGAGTCCTAGTCCTAGCAAAGAAGTCATTCAAAACAAATATTTATTATGCTTCTTGATGGGCCTGGTACTCTTCTAGGGGCTGGGAACACAGCAGTAAAGGAGGCAGAAATAACACTTGCTCTTATGAACTTCAAGTTCTATGGGGGAAGAGGGATTTTGGGCAAGTAATTCTGAGTGTAGGGAGAATTAGGGTGGCACAGGAAACAATGGATGAGACTGAGAGGAAGAGCCAAATCGGAGGGGAAGTCTTACCAGGAAAGCCACCCTTATAACACATGGTGGCCAGAGTTGTGATGGAGACAAGCATGGGAAGCTGAGAGAACCCAGTGGGGTCACCTGATCCAGGCTGGAAAGTCCGAGGTGGCTTCCTAGGGGAGATATATCACACCATACTGGTTGATTCTCCCAGATCTACTCCATCAAAAGTGATTGGATGTGTCAAAGCCAATGATGGTGATGCAATTCTCCTTTCTGCCAGTGATTGGTTCAGGGAAGGACATGAGACCAATCCTGGCCAAGGACACATGAAGGACAGTCTGTTAGGAGGCTGCCGGGAAAGTTTCCTTGGTTCCAAAAACAAGGCATAAGAAAAAAAAATCTGGTTTCTCTGCATGTTCTGGGTCTGGTTATGATGTCAGGTTTGCTACATCCACGTTGAAACCTGCCTGGCATAACACCTCCAGAGTACATACATGGAAGGGACAGGGATGCTTGAGGACACCATTGAACTGCTGCCTTGACCAAACCAGGACTCTCCTCCCCTCTTGACTTCTGAAGTTCCATTCATGTGAAACATTAAATGTTCTTACTAGTTCTGCCAATTTGAAGAAAGGATTTATATTAGTTGCTTCTAAGAGCTAATATAGGGGAAACCTGAGCTGGGTTTTGAAGGATGAATAAGAGTTTTCCAGGTGAAGGAGAGAAGGTCAACTAAGGTAGAGGGAAAGAATCACAAGGGGCCAGGTCATGGAGGTCTGCTATATACCAGGCTGAGGATTCTGGCCTTACTCTGAGAATGGCTTCTATACAGATCAGGTGAGGCCCCTTAGGAGGCAGTGCAGACCTGAGTTCCAGTCCTGCCTTCCCCCACTTGAAAGCAACTGAAATTAGACAATGCACATAAAACTTCCTGAGTTTCCATTTCCCCCTCTATAAAATGAAGATAACACCTACTTTGCAGGGCTTGATGAGAATTAAATAAGCTAATGGGCATAAAATCCTTAGCAAAGTCTCTGGAATGGGGTAAATGCAGCCTTTATTGTTACTAGAGTTGTATTATTTTTATACCATTATCGTCACACATACACTGTATTGGTTAGCCATTGCTGCCTAATAAACCATCCCCAAACTCATTGCTTTAATTATTTTGCTCATTGTCTGTTGGTGAGCTGGTGATTTTTCTGGTCTCAGCTAAACTCACTTAAGTGTCTGAGTACAGCTGGAGGTCAGGTAGGTGGCTTCGTTGTCTTGGTGGGGTTTTCAGTATTTGAGGGTCAACTGGCCATAGGCTGATATAGAATGACCTTGTCTGAAATGACTGAGCTCCCCTCCACAAGCTCTTATCTGCTAGCAGATATCCTGGGGTTGTCCCCATAGTAGCTGGGCAAGATTTCAAAAGAGAAAGTAGAAGTGTTCTAGTCCTCTTGACTCCTGAGAACCCCTAGGAACTCTCTGAGTCACTTCCACTATACTCTATAGGCCAATACAAGTGATAAGGCCAGCTTAGATTCAAGGATTTTTCAGGAACCAGACTCCACTTTTCAATGAGAGGGCTGCAAAAGCACATTGGAAAAAGAGTAAATACAGAGAAGGGCAGCAAATTGCCACCATTTCTGCATCTACCACACATAATTCTGATGTCAGGAGACCTGGAATGCCCCACTCAGAATTTGTCTGATCAGAGTCCCCAGCCAGCAAACATCCAGAAAAGGCTGTGGTCCACTCCAAAGGCCTCCCCGAGCCTCTTTCTTGGCTGTATTTGTACATTTTGATTGGTTCCCCTACTTATCAGCCCAGCAGGAAGAACCTTCCTTGTCACCAGCCCCTGGAGAGTTATTAAAATCCTGCACTATCATCCAGACCTTAATAGGAGATTCCTGAAGGCAGAAACCTGACTTGCCCTAATTTTCCATAATTAACTCATCAAGGCACATGGCATGGCTGCTGCTGTCCTCGGGGGCTCTCTGGCTTTTCCCAGACTGCCCAGTAAGTCCCTGCTCACCACATCGCATGGGGGAAGGGAAGCTACTGTTTATGGAAGACCTATTATGAGGCCAGCTGGGTGGGCTCTTTCTAGGTGTGAACTCATTGCTTTTCTCAACTGCTGAGCCAGGTGGATATTATGATTTCCATGTTATGATGAACTGGCTGAGGCCCAGAGAGGTGAAGTCCCTTGCCTAAGAACACACAGCTGGGAAATTCCTGAACCTAGGTTAGTGGTTATTTGGTTACTTACGGGGCCATACCTGGACAGGTTCCAAAGAAACTGAAGGTGCAAGTCAATACAGTCTCCTTTCTCTGAAAAATAAAAAAAAGAAACAAAAAACAAACAAAAAAAAACTGGCCCCCTGAGGTGATGTGATTCAATCACAAGTGTCTCCCCTAGCGGCTATCACAGTGCTTGGAGCCCCTGCGCTAATCACTCCCTTCACTGGGTATTTCTTTTTCCATCACTGTCACCAAAAATTAGCACCAGGCAAGGAGACCCTGTTAAAATACAAATAGTGTGGAGCTCCAATTAGTTAAAACACAGTTTCCTGAGCTTCCCCTCAGACCTTTTAAAACAGACTCTTTAGGAATGAGGCCCTGGAGTCTGTATTTTAATGTTCTCCTCCATAGGTAATTCTGATGTAAAAGCCAGTGACAACATCCTGCATGGAAAGACACCCACACAGTGTTGCTGTTGTTGTTGATATTAAGTGAATAAAGCAACTTGTCTAAAGCTTGACCCCATATTTGACAAAGAGATCTCAAATAGGCAAAGAAAAAGTCTGTATGAAAAAGAACATACTGACAGTGGAAAATTCCCACTCAGAGAGGGGTGATGGAGCTAGGTCATGATTATCTGTATGGCTTGAGCATTGTGCAAAGAGCACATATTCCCTTGTAATCAGAAAAAGCAGTAAGACTCTTTTAATGCAAATATCCTTGAAAGAGAGAGAGGGCATTGGCAGTTGGGAGGCAACACTGAAGAAAATCTCTGACTGTGGCAGCTAGCCGAGAGCAAAGCCTTACGGGAAAAGGCTTTGGTGTAGGCACCTAGGGGAGAAATGGGAGGAAGTATGAAAATCCCAGCAGGAAGAGGCACCAAAGTCCAGGTCCAGCTGTTTCTATATCCTGTAATCTTAACCTCCATGCTGAACCATTGTGGTAGATTGCAGTGGTGGCCCCAATTCTTCATCTGTCCCTGTGCCTATGTCCTTGCCCATGTGACTGTAATGCTCCTCCTCTCTCAAGTTGGCTCCACCAAGTGACTTGCTTTGGCCAATGAGATTTTAGCAAGCATGACCCAAGATGAGGCTTAAAAAGTGGGTGCCTATACCTCTCCCATGAGACCACACCAGGCTGCCTGTTGGAGGATGAGATACATGTGGAGGAGACTCCAGTCATCACTGTTGACAATGTTTCTTTATCCACCACTGTCACCCAAAATTAGCACCGAGAAGTCCCAGTGTAAAATAGAAATAGCATGGATCTGCAATTAGTTAAAACACAGTTTCCTAAGCTTACCCTCAGACCTTTTAAAATGGACTCTTTAGGAATGAGGCCCTGGAATCTGTATTTTAATATTCTTCATGGGTAATTCTGATGCATAAGCCACTGACAACATAATGCATGGAAGGACAGGCTGATAGCCGACTGCCCCCAGACATGTGAGTGCACCCAGTCAAGATCAGCATAGCTGCTTTGCTGACCACCCAGTAGTCACAAATGATCAATGATCAATAAGTGTTTATTGTTTAATGTCACTGAGGTTGTTTGTTATGCAGCATTTCATAGCAGTAAATAATTGATAAAAGTTTGGACCTGTTCACGCTGACTGCACAGAAGAGGAGCCCTTAATGCTGACCTATGTTTGGTGGAGTCTGATTCTGGCAAAAGGGATGTTCTGGGCAGGACTTGCTGGTGGAGCTGACTCATGGGTGTCACCCCTCAGTCATTATTCTGATTTATTTGGTATCTCCATTGCTCATGAGCTCTCAAGCATGAGTATACTTTTTCCTATCACAGAGTAAATAATGGAGCCCTGTCAATTCCACAGTTCATCAGTCACATGCACATTAGACTCGACTCTGCTGACAAGCGCTTCTGCTCACTCTCCCAAATGAGCAGACACAAGACAGTGACATTCTTTTTTCCCCTTCTCCTAGGTGTTTACATTATAGATCACAAGTACCTCCTTGCCTGGCACTGTCATTTTAACTAACTCCATCAACAACACACATTCAGGTAACTCCAGAACCATGTACCCACACTCAAAGCCTGTAAATAATAGAAATGCTGTATTGAAATTACCAGGATTTCTACTATGTGCTTATATACATTAGGCTATCTAATCCTCACGTGACAGTGCAGTAATACCATTATAGCAACATTTTAAAAGGAACAAAAGATGGTTCTTAAAAAAACTGTAATGCAGGTGAAAGATAAAATCCATGCTATATTAGTATAATGTCCATATGATGTCAAAGAGTTCTCACAAACAGACCAGAAAAATGACAAATGGCCCCACAGAAAATGGGCAAAGAATAGGAATTTATGGAAGAAATCAAAATGGCCAAGAATCAGAGGAAAAGATGCTCCAATTCTCTAGAAGTTAGACAAGTGCAAACTAAAGTAACAATGAAATATTATTCTATACCCATTGAACTGACAAAAATTAAAAAGAGTTCTAACACCTCCTGCTGGTGGAGATGAGGGGAAAGGACGTTCTCCTGAATGGCTGGTAGATGTGGAGACTGTGAGCCAGGAAGTTATCGGCTTGCCCAAGTTAACACATAATAAACGGCAGAGTCATCATTCAAATCTGGATGCAATGAACACCAAAGCTTATGCTATTAACTACTAAATAACTAGAAGGAATGTAGAGATCTATCTAGAGGGTTTTCAAGTTGCATATATATAGCAGCAGAATCTCTCTCCAAATAACATCGTACAGAAAGTCCTAGACTCATGAAAGAAATAGCAAAGAGCTGCTATGGTTGAAGATGAGGTTGGGTGTGGAGGGGATGGTTTCAGTCTCTCCTCCTGTGTCCCTATCCTCATTATACAGCCAAGGAATCTCTAGATCTCCATGGAACAGAGTTTGAAAATGGCTATCAAGCCCAATCCCACAATTTCCGAGGATCAGGGGCATAAGCGAATGGCCCAGAGAAGGCAGGAATTGCTTGAGGTCACACAACCCATCATAGCAGAGCAGGGACTAAGATTAGCCCTCCTGCCATATGACTCTCAGGTTTCTGGATAGTCCTAACTGTCATGATTGTGCCCACAGTCATCCTTCATTCAGCACCTTCTAGGTGTCCGGCAATGTCACGCCGCATGTCTGCTCCTGACTGTGACCCAGCATGAGTTGACCAAAGCCAAGAAGGGTGACAGGACATGCCCAACCCCGCACACCTAGGAAGTAACCGAGACAGGATTTGGACCAGGTCTACCCGAATCCAAACCGGAAGTGTCCTCCACTGTACAGGATTACCCCAGGTAAAGCAGGTGTGGGTTATGAAGAGTGTGGGCAGATGGGGCAGGGACTTTAGCCCAGAGCCCACATGCATGATCCCTCAATCCCAGCTGCCACGTTGTGTTCCATCAAGATCTTCACCGTCTTCTCTTTCTTTATGCATCAGCTCCCGACCACTCAGCACCCAGCACTGCCCAAAAACTAGATAGTACTCAGTAACTGTTATTTTCTGGCTGCTCATTCTTAGAGGCTAGCTGTAAGTCACCCCTGGGGAGGGAGGTGGACTGAAGGCAGAGTCCTGGGCTCACAGCCTAATCAGTCATTTCCCAGCTGTGTGATTCTAAACAAGTTAATCCAGTGCTCTGTCCACCTGCTCCTTCAGAGATAAATCAGGGTTCCACAGTAATAGCGCTGCACCCATTAGGATGCTTTGGGGTACAGGTAAAAGAAACCCCAACACGCACTGGCCAAAACATTGACAGAATCTATCATCTTGCATAACAGGAGGTCCACCAGGCAGAGTCCCCTTTGGGGTATAGATTTAGCAGCACAACGATGTCAAGGAAGATGTAGCTCCCTCATCTTTCAATACTGCTATCTTCAGAGTTAGCTTCCTTTTCTGGCATATAGTAAGATGGCTGTCTGAATTGCAGGTGTCACATTTATTAATACATAGCTACAAGCAGTAAAGAGTATCCCTCCCTTCTTACGCCTTCTTCTTAGTAATGGCAAGTTTCCCAAAAGCCCCTAACAAATTTTCTCTCACCTCTCATTGGACAGAACCAGGTCACATGCTAACCCTTAAACCAATCATTGGCAAGGGGAATAGTATTGCTGTGATTAGCTGGAACCAATCATCTGCAGTGCAATGTCTGACGAGAAGCCAACTATTTATTTTGAAACAATGCATTTAAGAAGGATCTGGTGTGCTAAATGGCAAGCCCAGTGGGACTTCTGCTTTTTTTTTTTTTTCAACTTTGAATCTAGGACACTGGAAACACTCCGCAACTAGTGAGTGAGGGTATGAGTGAGTGAATGAATGAATGAAGAATTTCTTTCCTCTCATTGCTTTCTCCATTGCCCAACTCAATAATCTCTGGATGACCTCAATGCCCAAATGAAGCCACAAAAGATGGTGGATCTGGAACAAATTAGGAAATAATTTGAACTCTCTGGAAAGCTCTACTGAAGAGATGAGTGAATCTGGGCCAAGCCCAAGTTATCTATGTCCAAATATACTCATCAACTTGTCAACAGACTCCCTTGGGTTAGGGTGGACACCACATGGCTCACTTACTGATTTTGTCAGTGGTGGTGTTGCTGCTAGTGTCCTAAATGAGTTGTCCCTAGTATTGAGATAATTTTGGAAGCCCTTTTTATGAGTATGGTTAATAACAGACATGGTTGTTCAGAATAAATAGCCAACTTAGTTTTGGCAGTGGGAGAATAAACATTTCAGCCAGAGGAATTAAAATGGGCAGGGTTGACTACCTCTAACTGGAATTTTGGTGGTCTCTATCCAAGATAGGGGCTGTTTGGTTATTTTGCCTCACATTGGAGGCACAGTGGGAGAGGACAGTGGCTGTCTTCACATTCCCCCAGTAAATTAGTCTCCCTCTGGGAATTCATGCTGAAGGCTACCGGTTAGAACCCAAATGAAAGGAGAGATACAGCATCCCCACCACTACGAGTATGGTTAATAACAGACACGGCTGTCCAGAGTAAATAGCCAACCTAATTTTGGCAACCCTCTGTGGTTGGAGACAAACCATGGGAAGGCGCTCAAACCTCGGTTTATCCACCTATAAGGTAGGGTTTCAATGACATGATAAACCTTGAGAAACATAGAAGGCAATGTTGGGCAGAAAATGGGATCATATGGCCCACAGTCATGCTGTGAGTTTTGGCAATTGTGGTAGGGGTACAATTTGCTCACAATTTTTTTCCTTCTCCACTCTTAGTACATTTCACTGTGGGTGGAGTGTACCTTCCTATCCCATTGATACTGGGCTGGACCATACAACGTGTGTTAGCCAACAGTAAATGTTTAGAAATGCTGAAGTAACTCTGGGCCACTTCTGAGCTTAAGCCTTACACAGTTTTGCCTGTGTTTTCACGTGCTGTCTTGAGATTTCTCTTCCCTTCCTTTAGAAGGGCACATCCTGCAAGGCCACTAGCTCCAGAATGAAAGATAAAGGGAGTAGGGTCTTTCCTAACCTGCAGAGCCATCCCCAGATGATCCACAGGACTGTTAAATAAATAAATAAATAAATAAAGTTGGCTTTATCATAAGACAGGAATAATTATCTCTATTTTAGAGGTGAGAAAGCTGAGGCTCTGTGAAATTAGAGGACTTGTCCAAGGTCATACAATCCGAAATCTGCAGAGCTGGGATTTGAAGAGCCCCAAAGGCTAGATTTTCCTGCTCTCTTTTGCTCCACTCAAGTGAATGATCAAGAATACAAGCATCAGCCGAGCACGGTGGCTCATGCCTGTAATCCCAGCACTTTGGGAGGCCAAGGCAGGTGGATTGCCTGAGCACAGGAGTTTGAGACCAGCCTGGGGAATATGATGAAACCCTGTCTCTACAAAAAAATACAAAAAATTAGTCAGGCATGGTGGCACATGCCTGTGGTCCCAGTTTCTCAGGAGGCTGAGGTGGGAGGATCACTTAAGCCTGGGAGGCAGAGGTTGCAGTGAGCCGAGATCACTCCACTGCACTCCAACCTGGGTTGGAGTGAGACCCCATCTCAAAAAAAAAAAAAAAAAAAAAAAAAAAAGAACAGAAGTGTAGTTCCTTAAGGGCACAAGACCGCTGCTCTGCCGTCTGTGTATAGACAGAAAAATAGAAGCCTCTTCTGGAAAACCCCTCTCCAGAGACCCATTGAGCTGACCCCAAATTCGTAACTCTACAGAAGGTCTAGAAGTGGTCCCAGGCAGATGGGTCACTGTCACCTGGACAGGTCTCAGCATCTGCTGCTGTGTGAGCATCCTGTAGAAGAAGCCAAGAGGAGACTCACTCCCTCTTACTGGGGGATGCCATTCTGTTCTTAAAGGCATTTATTGAGGACCTACTGCTTACCAGAAATAAATGGGATGCCATGAGAAACCCGAGGTTCTTTCTAGATAAGGGAAGGAAATACATTCCAAAGTTCTCAGCCTCACATCCAAGACTCTTCTCACCTGACTCCAAACAAACCGCTATTGTTATTTCTGTCAACACTTCATCCTCTCCTACCCCTCCGTTCACTCTAAACTCAGGCATATGAAAATTGCTTTGCTCTAAGCTTTTGCTTAACTTGTTCCTGTGGCCTGGGATGCGCCTCTCTGTTCCATCTCAATTACGACATTTCTGTTCACCATTAAGGGTGTGATGGGTCACCTCGGAGCCCTCTTTCCCAATCCCCTCCTCTGGGCTCTTGGTTGTCTGTGACAGCCATCTCGATGCTGGTCTACATGGAGGGCTGACTTTCCCACAAGCCCACAGTTTCCCACAAACAGAGATGTTTCTTTACTCATTTTGTATCACTTGCCATCCCAACAGGTAACACAAATGCCAGATACTGGGTAGACAATGTATGTGAACATTATGCCCTTAGTAGTATAGAGCACTTTGGAATTTATTCGTTAGTGAGCTCCAGGTTTAAGTCCCAGATTCCCTTCTTTCTAGCTCTGTGACTGTGGGGAAATGGCTCACCTCTCTGAGCACTGCCAGACCTATTGTTGAAGGATTCCATGAGATATTCCACAGAAAGCAACTAGCACTCAAGAAACATAATCTATTCTTACAGATCACATAACCCTCAATAAATGTGATCTATTCTTATTACTGTTGTTGTTATCATCCATTACCTTAGATTCTGGGATAATGGGCAATGATTATCCTAGATTCCAGGGGTCAGAAAATTTGTCTTTAAGAGCCAGATTGTAAGTATTGCAGGTTTTGTGGTCCATGTGGTGTCTGTTTTGCTACACAACTGTGCTGTTGTACCATGAAAGCAAGCACAGACAATATGTAAATGAATGAGCATGGCTGTGTTCCAATAAAACTTTATTTACATAAACTGGCAGTGGGACAAATTTAGACCATAGTTTGCTCACCTCTAACCTAGGAAATTGAAGGAAACCAGAGATGGAAGGTAGAACTCAGGCTGTTTACATCAATTCTAAAAGTCACTGGAAGGGGGGAACCTGAGGCAGGGGAGGAGTCATTCTTGGCTTGCCAAGCAGAAGAAGAAATGAATAAATCATAGCACACTGACTCATGACCTCCAGATTCAGACAGACATAAGTCCTGAAGCCACTTCGATCAGCTGCTGTGTATGACTTTGGGCAAAGGACCCCTCTCTGTTCAAGCTTCAGTTTCCTTGTGTATAAAATGGAAATAACAACAACCCGTATTTCCTAGGCTTGTGGGGAGCATACAGTCAAAGTGTTTAGCTACCTTGCCAGAATTTATAGGAACTGTGTCAAAATGCCAGAGAAAGGGAACATTACTGAGACCCTAGGCAGTGGGAAGGAAAAAAAATCAAAATGGAAAATGCTGACCTTCTATTAGCTTCTAGTAAACAGAATTTCTCAGCAAGACCTTGTAAACCGCTTAACTTTCGGCAAGGCTGACATTTGGGGGTTGACAAGCTCAGGTGTCGCTCATAGCCAGGAAGCTTTTCTTCTCAAGAGGACACGAGAGCTTCAGCATTACGATCCCAACACCTCTAATCTCACCCCCAAACAGGTGCAGGCAGGGGACAGGGTCTTGGCACCTCTGGAGTTCCAGGACCTGTCCTTTGACAGGGGCTGGGCAACATTCCCCAGTCCTGCCAGTATGATGGGAGATGGAGGTGGGAGTCTTGTGGGTGGGTTATTTTTCTCTGGATGATCCAAAATGGAGGGGAATTCGGGGGGAGAAGCACAGATTAATACTGGAAAGCAAGGGGATTAAAAAAGATTAAAGAGGGTAAAGAGAAACGAATGCTGATGTACTGGATACTTCTGACTCAGAACGCCAGGTTTTTCCCTGATTTCAATAAGCTCTTTAAAAAATTCATGAGGTTTCTGTTTCTCTGAGTATTTATTCAGGGCCCCGGGATAAAATCTGCTTTCATTGCGGGCAAGTCCTGGGGGGAAGGCATAATTTGAACAGTTCAGGCTAATAAATTACACAATGTCAACATGTTCAGTCACTAATGCCCTTCAGCAGTCTCAGGCCCTAGTAATGAGAGGTGGCCTGAATGAGAAAGGAAACCATTCCCTGGCTTTATTCCTCCTTTTCTTTATTTCCTTCCCTTCATTTCTGAGAGGGCTTCCCTGTATCAGGCACTGGGGACATAGAGATGAAAAGGCCATTGAAAAGACACAGTCTTGCCAGGCATGGTGATGTGCACCTGTACTCCCAGCTACACCGGAGGCTGAGGCGGGGGAATCTCTTGAGCCCAGGAGTTAGAGATCAGCCTGGGCAACATAGCGAGACCCTGTCTCTAACAAAAGAAAAGAAGAAAAAAGGTCACAGGTGATGGAGATGACACTTTCATGGAGAGTTCTAAGGCAATGTGATGGGTCCTAGAACAGGGGCCAGCAGGTACTCTCCACCAAGCCATGCTATATAGTCACGGTGGCACCAGGGGTGGGAAAAGGGCAGGAAGCCACAAACCTTCTACCCATGCCTCCATTCTCTCATTTAAAATTGGACCCATGATCCTCTAGAAAGGGCAGGCTCTAAAAAGTTAATACTTTTAAAACTATAAAGATGAAAAAAAGACTAGAAACTACCTAATGTCCAACAACAGGAGGCCAATTATGTAAATTAGGCTACTTAGTGTCATATGATGTGGCCATTAAAGTAATGAGGATGAAGATTGTGTAGCAATATGGAAAAGATGCTTACAAACTAAGTCTGGCAGTGAAAGGTGAAAACTGCATTTTACTAAATGAGAAAACAAAAGAAACTTCGTAAGAATCTTGTTGCCCTGGGGAGTTGAATCTGGAGGGGTGAGTATTTTGGGGATTGGCTCACATGCTTGTCTCCCCACTGGATTTGGGTACTTGGGGAGCAGGGACCAGGCGCTGTGAGAGATATATGTAAAATCTCCAGCTCCTAGCCCTGTTGCCCAGCTAGGGTAGATAAAAAATGTGTGAGAGAACACAGGACATTGATGCCACTCGTCCCTGCGTCCTGGGCAGAGCACAGTAACTTGCACATAGAGGTTGAACCTGCAGCCCTGGAACATGGAGGGAGGGCTGGATGAGCAACAAGGGAATACGGAAGGAGAGAGAGAGAAAGGAGAGAAATGAGAAAAAGAGAAAGAAAAAATGAGGTAGAAAGGAGGGGAAGGAGAGAGAAGGATGATTCTGCCTCGATTTAAAGCACTAACATATATTCGAGAAGTTATCTCTCCCAGGATCTAGCCAGACTCCTACACCTTGCATGGTTACCGCCTGTAAAAAGCTGTCTCCTCTGTGGCCCCAAAGTGAGGCACATGGAAGCTGCAGCCTTGGGGATCCCTGGGACAGCTTTGGGCCCCAACGTAGGCGCAGGCCGAGGAGGCTGGGGAAGGAGAGTGGGTGTGGCCCTTAGCCTTGAGCTGCTTCTTGGGCTCTGCTCACCCCATGATCAGTCTCTTAAGCTGTTAAATCCCCAAAGTAAACTTGGATGCACTTCTGAAGGCATTGACAAAAAACTCTGGATTTTACTGATGGTTTAATGGGGCCCAGAGAGTGGAGATTACAAAGCATATCCAAGAGCAAAGCTCCCTAAAAATCCCCTTCTGGTGTCTCTGCCTTCCCTAGATTTCCATTTCTTCTGGACGTTGCCATGCCTCTCCCTTCTCCCTCTCTGCCAGTCTTCTTCAGTCATGCTTGTTTCTCTCTCCACCCCTTGTCCTCAACCACCTTGTTCCTCTAAACTCCCTCCGCATGCACACCCACCCTGCAATCAATACCAAGTTCCAGCTATTGGCCACACCCCACATGTCCAGCTTCCCCAGCCAGCCCGTAATTTCTTCCCCAGAAGTCTGTTCCTTGCAGCATTTTTTCCGTCTAGCATCATGTTGGAATTTGATTAGTAACATAAGTCTCTGGCGACTGGGATGAGCTCTAAGTTTAAATTTAATCTTTGCAAGCCAGGTGACCTCAGACAAGCGACATCATCTCTCTGGACCAGTTTTCCTGTCCACAAAATGAGGATCAGATGAATACATGCCTAAAAAGTTTTCTGTGTATATTTAACAAGATGATGCATGCAAGGTGCAGGTCGAAAGAGAGCATGAAGTTGTTCTTAGCCATCAGTACTATTATTTATCCACTGAAACATTCGGTGAGGTCAGTAGAGCAAAACTATGGTCCTCATTTTGTTATGAACAAACCAAGGACCAGAGAGGCGAGTCGACTTGCCCAAGGTTGCACAGGACCAAGCAGCCAAGTCAGAGGTCAAGTTTAGTTCCTTAAGCCTAGACTCTTTGGCTATCATCCCAACTCCTTGAGGTCAAGCATTAAGCTGGCAGGTACTGTTATAGGAGTTATTAAGAAATTATTTTAGCCAGATAGGAAAAGGGGTCCTTGGGAAGTTTTCGTTTCTTTTAAAGCAGCCTCAGAAAATTTCTTGTCTAGCAGGAAAGCCCCAGCTCTTGGTGGGGGAGCGGGGGGGGGGGGGGGCAACCTTTGATATGCAAATGCCGACTATTAGAAACTGGGTCCACCCATACGTGGCGATTCCCACTGCCTTCTTCTTGCCCTTGCCCTCACATGTGCCTGGCAACATGGCTGCCTCCACATAACCCCATGTGTGTAGAACATCATGGCGTCCTTCATTTGCATATTAAAAGGCTAGGGTGGGAAGGCCAGGTTTTTCACGGGCTACATGAGTGACATACCTGGTCAAACCAATCCCCTGAGCCCTATGCAAATCAGACACCACCTCCTCCAACGTCCTCATATAAGCAGCCACTTTTGTTCCACACACGGGTTTTCTCTTTGTTCAAGTACCCCCTCCCACTGTCTCTTAAGGGGGAGCTGTTTTCTTCTTCCTTCCTTCTGTCTTGCCTGTTAAACTTTTTGCTCCTTAAAACCACTCCACATGTGTCCATGTCGTTTTATCCAATTCAGTGTGAGACGGAGAAACCTGGTGTTCCTCCACTCATCGGAGATCTATCAGTACTAGTGGCTATGAACCTCCACATCTTTGGCCCTTTACATCCCAGGTCCTAGAGGTCAAGCCCTGCAAAGGCAAGTACTGGCGAGTGGAGGGCCCTGCAGCCTGGATGCTGTTAACGCACTCTGGGGAAGGAAGGTTCTCCTTCCTGGCTTCAGTTTTAAGAGGCTCAACATTAAATTATGATGATATATGGCATGGAATTCTGCTGCCTTCTGGCCCCTGACAATTACATTTCTTCCAGGCACAACTCCAGAGAATCCATTTTGCTGTTCTCGGCAGAGTCTGGAGAGACCTGCAGGAAATTTGGTGCCCTCAGGAGCCACTTCTCACATCAGCCACTCAGAGACTTCCTATATAGTTTGACTACGTGGTGCTCCTCTCTGGGGTGCTGTCATTATTCTAAAGCCCAGAATTCAAAGGTTGTCACTGGACCCCAAGCTATCTGCCAAGACTCCCTCCCCTTCCTCTGCCAACATCATCACTTGGTACTTCATGGTATTACATGGTGCCTAGGGGATTCTGGAGTCAGACCAATGTGAGTTCAAAGCTTAGGTGTTACTCTATGAACTGGGTAAATTATTCAGTCTCTTTCAGCCTCCATATCTTTACCCGTAAAATGGATATTTATATAATTATGGAAAACAGGTAAATAATACTTCATAGGACTATGATAATTCTATGAGATTGTATCGGTTAGATGAACTACAATAATGCCACATAATAAATAACCATAAAACCTTAGGGATACATGAAAATTTGCAATTCAAAGAAGAAATATAAGCAGCCAATGCATGCACACATAAAAAGGCTTCAT
Source organism: Homo sapiens (assembly GCF_000001405.40). NCBI lineage: Eukaryota > Metazoa > Chordata > Mammalia > Primates > Hominidae > Homo > Homo sapiens. The sequence goes on along the minus strand of NC_000012.12, from coordinate 108,089,549 downwards.
CACACTAGTAAACAAAGAAAGGCAAATAAAGAAAAAACAAGGTGTTAGTTTTCACCTATGTCCAATTGGCAATGTTTTAAAATACAGACTTTATGTTTTAGAACAGTTTTAGATTGACAGAAAATTTAATAAGATAGTTTGGAGTTCCCAGTCTTACCTATTAGTAACATCTTATCTTAATGTGATATATTTGTTTCAGCTAATGAACCAATATTGATAGAAAATTATTAACTAAAGTCTATATTTTATTCAAATATCCTTATGTTTTACCTAATGTCCTTTGTTTTGAGCCTAGAATCCCACCCAGGTAGCATTTACATATAGTTATCATGTCTCCTTACATTCCTCTTGACTATGATAGTTATGCACTTTCCTTGTTTTTTATTACCTTGAGAGTTTTGAGGAGCACTGGTCAGGTATTTTGTAGAATGTCCCTCTATTAGCTGATTTTTTTTAATGGATTGACTCAGGTTATGGGTCTGTGGGAGTAAGACCAGAGAGGTAACTGCAATTTTCATCACATTATATCAAGGGTACATACTAACAGCATGACTTATGACAATTGGTATTGGCCTTGATAACCTGGCTAAGGTAGTCTTTGTCAGGTATCTCCAGCCCACACTGAAAGAGTGAGGAGTTATGCTATCCCTCTTTGAGGGCAGAGCATCTAGGTAAATTGTTTGGAATTAGGCTGCATGACAGATTTGTCTCTTCTCCCCCATTCATTAAGCTATTCAGTCACTTATTTATATCAGTATACACTCAGAGATATATGATTTATACCTTGAGTTATAACTCAATTCTTTATTTATTTATCTTGTTCCAATTTTTCCAGCTTTGGCCATTGGAAGCTCTTTCACTTGGCTTCCGAGCTTCTTTGATATACACTCATTTGTTTTAGCACATCCTTGCAATCTGACACTATAAAAAGCTCCAGGCTCATCTTGTGCTTTTACTGCCCCAGTCATTGAAACAGCTATTTCTCCAAGTACCTCTGGTTCCTTTTATTAGAGAATGGTATTAGTAACCAAGATCTGGGCATTAGGTGTTCTTCTTGCTACAGGGGTGTCTTTGCTTCTAGGCCCTCTCAGCTGACATATTTTCTTATGATCTGTGAATACACTCACTAACCTGTGTAAATACACATATCTATAAATATTTCTGTATGTAACCATCTGTATCCATATTAAGCTAAACATTGAGTTCATACTGATGTCCCCAGCTCTGATTCATCGCCATATGGATCATCTAGCTTCCTGCCCTGGCTTATCTGTAAACTCCCACTCCAACAGTGAGAAACATGACTTTCACCAACTTATATCCATTTACTTAATTCTTCAACTCTAGTATACATGTATAGCAGTGTCAGAATTGTTAACCTGTATTCCTGTGGGAAACAACTTTATCAACTAGAGTACAGTCCTTATGTACAGTTCCTTCTGCCTTTTGTCTTGCAGACTCCATTTATTTCCAAAGTTATGCCAGCACCTCCCGTCACACTCCCTTCAATGTGGTTGCTTCAGGCATTTGTCATACAGTTAGATTCTTTGTCATAGTCTGCTTTCCCTCCTGGGATCCCAGCTCCTTAAATAATTTTTTTAAATTGCATTCATTAAGCTTCACTCTTTGTGCTTGAAAGTTCTATGGGTTTTGATAAATACTTAATGTCTTGCATTCACAATTACAGTATGATACAGAATTTCATTACTTTCTTAAAAATCCATTTGCTCCACCTACTCATCCCTATACCCTCTCTCTAAATCCCTAGCATCAACTGCTCATTTTACTCTCTCTTGAGTTTTGTCTTTCCCAGAATGGGTGATGATGTTTTCAAGTGCTAATATTTATTAAATAGTATCACTGAGATTATGAAGAAATAGGCCTCTGTTATGCTACATGTTGCAGTTTGCTCATTCATAGCCTAAATGTCTTTTTTTAAAAAAGGAAAAGGGGTGCCTATTTTTTATTTCCAATCCAGCAAATTCCACATCTAAAAGTTTATCAAAAGTAAATCATTCTGAATGAGTACAATGATTTGCTATGAGGATGTTTATGGCAGTATTTTTTATTATCATGAAATCATCCATCAATTCAATAAATATTTAGTGTGTGCCTACCATGTGCTATTCACTATTTTAGGCACTGGAGATTATAACCTAACAAGAAAAGACAAAAATTCCTGCCTTCAAAAATCCAATATACCTCATAAAGCTTGTATCCTAGTAATTAAAGACAGACACACATATATGCATACATACATGCATGTATATATGCACACACACACATACATATTCTGATGATGGTAGGAGTAGGAAGAAAATAAGTCAGGGAAGGTCATTAGGCAATGCCTCTGTGGTTGGCAGGGTGATTTACCTCACTGCCCATGGAGTCCTTTGGGGATTAGAGAAACTCCAGGTGTCCTGAGCTACTTGTGGTGGCTAATGTGAAAAGTATAAAGGACAAAATTATTTCCGAGCATCTCCTGGCAGACAGTTGCAGTGAGGCTGTGAGCATTTGATGAGACAGAGAAGGAGGAAGGGGTGAGAGTTTTATGAGGAGCATACAGATCTCCTGAGGCATACTCCTCACCCCTGCCAGTGCTGACTAAAGCAGAGGACAGGGCATTTATCTGGAACATACAGAACTTTGGAGGTTCCTCTTGGCTGCAGAAAAACACCAGCCAGTCATTAAAAACAATGTGTTGATAAATACTTAATATGAAAAAATATTCATAATATATTTTACATGAGTAAAAAGCAACTAAAGACTGTATATACTATACGGGGATAGTTTGGTCACATAAAATATAAATACTTCTGTGTATATGAACATACAGAAAACATGAAATAGAATGTTGTCTTCAAATTGCCTCTTTTCCTTATACTCATGTAACAAACATGCACACGTACCCCCTGAATCTAAAGTAAAATAAAATTTTAAGAAATCAACTTGCAGAAAATTAGCACCTTGATTTTTCAATCTATAAATATGGCACACCACTTCATTTCTTTAATTCTTTATTAAGCTCTTTCCACAATACTATGATTTTTTTTTACTTTAACATTATTGCAAGTCTTTTGTTAAGTTCATTCCTAACTTTTCTGCGCTCATTAACACCAGTGTAAATAGAATTAATTAATTTCTGTTTCTAATAGTTTGTAGCAAGTATATACAATTGATTTTTGTATATTTTGCATATTAACATGGAATTATATATTCAATTTGTTTTTCCTATGATTATTTGTAGATTTTATAAATACTATCCATGGAAATAATCACATCATTTACAAATAGATTTTACTTAACTCATTCCTTTCCATCAGCATGCTATTAATATCTTTTCTTTTTGCCTTCTTGGATGATTATGGTCTCCAGTAAAATGTTAAATAGAAATGGTCCAGCCTGTCCTTGTTTTGCTAGTAAGGGGAGAACATTGAATATTCAATTATTAAGTATGGCATTACCTAAGGTATTTTACTGATGTCCCTTTTCAGATTGAGGAAAGTACATTCTCTTCCTAGTTTTCTGAGAGTTTTTCTAAATATTACAGATGAAAATTGTTTTGTTCAATGCTTTTCTTAAAATTGTATGTTTTTTTCCATTAATCTGATAATATCATGAGTTACAATTTTTATTTTTTATTTCTTTCTTTTTTTTTTTTTTTTTTGAGACAGAGTCTTGCTCTGTCTGTTGCCCAGGCTGAAGTGCAGTGGCGTGATCTCGGCTCACTGCAAGCTCTGCCTCCCAGGTTCACGCCATTCTCCTGCCTCAGCCTCCTGAGTAGCTGGGATTACAGGCACCTGCCACCACGCCCGGCTAATTTTTTTTGTATTTTTAGTAGAGAGGGGGTTTCACCGTGTTAGCCAAGATGGGTCTCGATCTCCTGACCTCGTGATCCGCTTGCCTCGGCCTCCCAAGTGCTGGGTTTACAGGTGTGAGCCACTGTGCCTGGCCTTATTTTTTATTTCTAAAGAAGTTCCCATTAGTCATTGCATTAGGTCGTTCTTGCATTGCTATAAAGAAATACCTGAGGCTGGGTAATTTATAAAGAAAAGAGATTTAATTGGCTCACAGTTCTGCAGGCTGTACAGGAAGCAATGTGCTGGCATCTGCTTGGCTTCTGAGGAGGCCTCAGGGAGATTTTATTCATTGTGGAAGGTGAAGCAGGAGCAGACATCTCACACGGTCAGAGCAGGAGCAAAAGAGAGAGTGGGAGGTGCTACAAACTTTTAAACAACCTGATCTCACGTGAACTCACTCATCACCAAGGAGATGGTGCTAAGCCATTCATGAGAAATCCACCCCCACGATCCAAACACCTCCCACCATGTCCCACTTCCAGTACTGAGGATTATATTTCAACATGAGATTGGGCAGGGACACAGATCCAAACCATATCAGTCATGTAATATCCTTCATATATGCGCCCCCCCACACCATACACAGCTGAATATGGTTTGTTAATACTTGATTAATGATTTTTCTGCCTAATTTAATAAAGGATGGTTGACTGTAATTTTATTTTAGCATCCATTTCTTCATTATCAGTGTCATGGTAGCCTTATGAAAATAATAAGAGGTATTTAGACTTTTAAAATTTTTCTCTTTTTTTACTTATCTGTGTTTTCTTAAGTTTCTACAGTCAAAATTTATATTGCTTTTGTAATCATAAGGGAAAAAGTGAGAACAACAGAAAAGAATGTAGAAATGGATGTTGAAACTATCTTCAGTAAGAATCAATCATGATGTCTAGAGAGATAAATTACCACTCCCCAAGAATACTGCCTCTAATCTAAAGAGAGTGCCTTGCACCTCTGCCTTCCCTTGCAGCTGAGGATCAAGGCACAAACCGTTTCCAATCCTGAGATACCACGCTTGCTTCTCTGAATGTTTTCTGTGGCTTTCTCTGGTGGTTGGTGGGACTTTGGAAGCAGGAATGCGGATGGGAGTGGACTCCTTAACCTGGACTCAAGAATTTTACAGAGGCAGACAGAAAGGGGTTTCTCCCACTTACCGCAAACACCTCTAAGTCTCTCACCCTGGCTCATTGGACTAGAGAGCATCATGGTGCCAATTTCCTCCAGCATAAGACCTGATACTCGAAGGTTTTCTGCTCTGAGTGAGCAAAAAGTGGTGCCAACTTTGACAAGGACAGAGAGTGAGTATAAGGCAACAACACCTAGGACATCAGAGTGAAGCTAACATGTTTGGTTTAAAAATTGGCTGCAGTACTTCATCTAAACACCTTTCTCACGCTAGAGCATTTACCAAGCATCACTTCATTGTCTCCCCTACCATCACCCATGCCGAGGAATCAGAGGTGAATCAGATGTGGATCTAGCCCTCAGAAATCTCCACATCCAGGAAGGGATGTAAATCATAGGCACATATCATCTTAATACCAGGCAGACAATAAAAAACAGCAGAAGACAGCAGTTGAGAAAACAGAGCATTTACTTCCAGCTGGGCTGGGAGCCCCAGAGAAGATTTGTGAACTCGGTGCAAAATGAACTCCAGGAAACTGCCTAGGAAGGAACTATTCTGAGGGCAAAAGCATGGGGAGTGAGTAAAATAAGAAACAACTCTGTGAATATGAGACTGATTTTCTGATGTCATTGTATTTCACTTTTTGAAATAGAAATATACATCATTTTTCTAACTTAGAAAAGTATTTTATGCTCATACTAAAATAGCCATATATATTCCAGTGTGGGGCTATCATGTAATTTATTCAACCATTCTCATTGGTTAGCCAAAAGGATTGTTTTCAAGTTTTCATGATTAGAAGTTACCCTATGATGAATAAATATATTGAGATTTTGTCCAATTTTATTTTAGAATAAATTTCTAGGAGGAAAATTGTTTGATCAAAGTGCATATATTTCAAAGTTTTTAATATATACTGCAAAATTTTCCTACCTGGACCAATTTATATTCAAAGGCATGAGAGTGGCCATGTGTCCACAATTGCCTAATTACATATTATCATTCTTTTTAATCTGCTTGCTCTGTGGAATGATGCCATGGAAGCTCATGAGCCAAATGATATAAACTAGTCTGTCACCATTTTATTTTGTCTTTTCCCCTTCATTGAGCTCAGTGGCTCAAATGAAAACCTCTGAAATCCTCCATACACCACACCTAGAAATGTCCCTGCACTCTCTTTCTGTCTTTTCCCAGTGACAACTTGAGAGCAGATGGCTTATAAGCTCACTCTAAAAGCAACATTTTCTTTATCTTTCTCAGGTCAGGTTTTGAAAACCTGGGCTGCAGGGGAGGAGGCCTATGTTGTTGTAGAGAGATGACCTGGCTCTTAAGAATGAGTATTTTATTCACACTCCTGGTGTGCATCAGCATTTCTGCAACTGTCTCTGTCTCTGCCTGGCATGGATCACTTACAGCCTCCAAGGCAGACCTCTGCTATAAGCACCCTTGTCACTCTGTGGACCCATTCCATTTCCCAGCCATTTGTAAGCCAATGTCTCCATAATGCAGGATAATTGGAGGTCCTTAGATCTTGAGAGAACGGGCTTGGGTAGTGTTTAACAAAGAGCGTCTCTATAATGCTTAGTTCCAAGTCTCCTTATGTGCTAGGTAAACCAGGCTGATTCAGGAGGAAAAGTGAGGCACAGAGAAGGGGAGACATCCACATGAGGTCAAACAGCAATCACCCTACCTAAAACCTTATCACCTGAGTCCTCTGTTAGAACTCACTGCCTCCCCCATGGCAAACTCCTGATTCTAAATCTTAGCACACTGTGCATCTCATGCAGAGGATTGTTTGTGATGTTACATTACCAAGCTTTTAAAAGTCCAGATGGTTCCAGTTGTGGGGGGTCTATGGGCCATAAAACTGCCATCCTCACAACTCAAGCCTCTCTTGTGGTAATGATGTAATCTGTTTGCAGAAAAAGGCCCCAGTCCAGGCTGTCACTAGAGCAGTCACCTCCGATGGAGGCACAACCAGGGATAGGGAGTGTTCATGATAGTTCCATTCTGAGCTGTGAAAAGCAACTTTCCTTTGACTGTGTTCTCTAGCACATAAGGACCCAATGTATTAGAGGAGTGCAGGAATAAGACTAAGACCTCTGTACCCACCTCATCTCCTACTTCTCTTCAAGCAGAACTGCAGAACTGCTGCCCACTCTGAATTCTTGCATGTGCATTTACACTTCAGGGAATGTCCTTTCCTACTTTTGTCTTTAAAACCCTTTAGAACTGTAGGTACAAATCTCAGCTCTGAGGTTGTCTAACTCTGTGACACAGGACAAGTCCTTCCATCTATATGATCATTTATTTCCTCATCTCTCAAATGGTGTCAGTAATTGATTCAGCCTCATAGGATTGCTTCAAAGATTAAGCAAAATAATCCTCATGGGCTGAGGTTGAGGAAATTTTGGCTGTAACAGAAACCCACTCAGATTAATTAAAGCCAAAAAAAGCAGGGTGAGGATTTGCTCAGAAAAGGCACAAATCCAGTCTTGGGATGCAAAATAAGTCACGTCATGTATAAATTTTCAAGCAATCACTCCAGACCCCCACATGCAGGAAGTTCAACATCTTCCTCCTAAAATCCCACTTGCACCCTCACTTGGTGTTGGCCAACACTTCTTGAACAGTTCGTGGATCCCGGGGCAGAATGTCCAAGGGAGCAGCTTCCCCAGAAGACAGTAAAGGCTGGAGTCCAGGCAAGGCACCATTGCTGTGCTTGGCTAACTTTTGGGCTGCTGTGAAGATGGCTGTGTTGTGGCCTGGTCAGCAGCATTGCAGGACTGGACTGGACTTTGCACGAACCACTTACTGGATGTCAGGAGAGGAGTGCTCCACTCCCACGCACCAAATTGCAGTGCTTAGCCTCAGCTTTCCAGTCATATCCCACTTCCCAAGAATCTGGAGTAAGTTCCATGAGGTCAGGAAACATGCCTATCTTATGTATCACTGTGTGCCCAGTGTCTGAAATATGGGCCTGGTACAAAGTAGTCATTACATGTTAAGTAGATGGATGGATAGGTGGGTAGGTAGGTGGATGGATGGATGGATGGATGGATGGATGGATGGATGGAGGGATGGATAGATGGATGGATGGATAGAGAGACAGGCAGACAGAGATGGACAGATTGACAGATGGATGGACAAATCATAGTGTGAAATATCAGACCCAAGTCATGGTTAAGAAATGTTATAAATGAATACCTTTGGTAAATTACCATTTTGGAATAGGTAGGTATGTGATGTTTTTAAAACAGAACAAGTAAACCAACATTTTAAAAATCACAGTCTAAGAATTTGCTGGCTGCGTGAATTTGTCATCTTCACTTGCATTAGGCAACAATCACAAGCATGCATGTAAATATATTTATAAAGACAGTCTTTAAATACAAGGATGTGATTTCTATTGATGCCTCTGGAATAGAATTAGGTCAAAGGCCACTGGGAAAGGAATGAGAGCAAGCATTTATTGAGTGTCCACCAAGGGTCAAGTTGTTTAATTAAATGCTACCCTGTCAGATCCTCTCACAACTCTGTGCAGAGGGCATCACCATCCCCGTTTCTCAGGTGCGGCAACTGAGGTGCAATGAGGCTGCACATGTCCTGCTTGGGGACACACAGCTAGTAGGTGGCAGAGCTAGCTTTGAATTCAGTTTTGCTCAGTCCCAAATCCCATGCTGTCACCATTTCCCCACATGACCTGACCGGAAGAGGGCCTATGGGAGGAAAGAAATGGGGCAAGCATTGTTTAAGGATTAAGTCCTATAAGTCCTGTTATCTCCTTCATCCCACAGCAATTCTGTAAGGGAGGAATTATACGGTTATTACTCATGCCTCAAAGGTGGGGAAACTGAGATTTGGAGCTAAATGCCACTTCCAAGGTCATTGATTTAATCCTCAGGAACGCTCTTTGAGGCCGATTGGATTTCATGTCTATATGACCCTGGCAAAAGCAGACAATAGACTGGGGCCCTCGCAGGGCCCGTCTCCCATGGCAACAACAGCATGTGTATTCTCAGAGAGCACATGAGTAAGTCTTGAGTGCTTACTCTATGCATGGTTTGTGGCAGAGGGCTCAGAGGGAAAAGGCAATTTGGGGAAGGAATGGTTAGCAGCAGAGCCCACGGAGCCTGACTCTAGGCTGGCGTGTGATCTTGGGCTTGCTCAGTGCCCTAAATTCCTTCACTACACTCTCCTTGGAGTCACAGCTTTTTGACTCTGGTTAAAATGCAAATCATACCTGGAAGGGATAACACAGAAAACCATTATCAGCCTGGAACAAAGCCAGACCACATTCATGTCCAAATTTCATTCTCAATACTTTTGTTTTTTTTTTTTTATAACTTTAAAAACATTTTTTGGGGAGCAATTCATGTTCATTGTAGAAGTTTAGAAAATGCAGAGGCAAAAGAAAATTAAAAAAAAAAAAGGAAAGAAAACAATCACCTGAAATCTCCCTGAAGTAGTCATTTTATCCTGTTGGATCTAGTAATAGTACTCAAATGTTACAATTTTGCCCTGAGAAGCCATATATCCCCCACTCTCCACCCAACTCATTAAGGTAAAGCTTATTCCATGCCCCTGCCTTTAATGGGGTTAGAAGAGCATGTGACCCAGAAATGGCCAATCAGAGCATCACAGTCCTGGCCACAATGATTGGCTCATGGCACGGTATACTACCAATCCTAGCCAATAAGAGCTCTGCCCAAAACTTTCAATGGAATCATTGGGAAACATTTTTTTTTTTTCCTCTTCCTAACTGCAAAGAGGATGGGAGCAGATAGTGGTCATTCTTGACCCAGTCTGTGGAGAGCTTACCTGAGAATAAAGCCAGTCCCACAGAGGAGTTGAGGCATGTGTAGAAGTAGAATTTTGATATTGTCTGAGTGTCTGGATCCAACTATACCTGAAGCCAGTGCACATAGACTTTTCAGGTAGTAAATTGAATCATATACAATTGCCAGTATTTGACAATTTTTGACCTGAAAATGATGATTTCATACGGTTTAACTCAGTACATGAGAAAACAAATTTCCTTTCCTACTTAAGTAACTTGAAATTGAGTTTCTGGCTCTTGCAACTGAAAGAATATGGTTCAATACATCCATCACCCAAATAAAATCAACATTCACATTTTGGTAGGTCTCCTCCCATACGTGTGTGTGTGTGTGTGTGTGTGTGTATGTATGTTTGTATTGTATAATATAATGATAGTTCCTTTTGTAATATGCTATCATATGGCACTTTGTATTAATAATTAATGATTTATGACAATTTAATTTCACTTATTATTTATGTAATTAGTTCTTCAAACTCCTCCTTCTGTGGCCTGACAGTTTCATGAGAACAGTGCTTTATTCTAGCCAAACACATTGTCAGCCCCATAGTAGGTACTCAATAAATATTTGTTGACTTACTAATATGCAGGTATACTAAAAAAAATAGAATTCAGTATGACTGAATGGTTTAGAGAAAAGCCAACCTGCAGCCAGGCATACAGCTACTGGATTCTATAAAAGTGAGACATATTGTCCCATTGGAGTAGGGCCCAGAGATAGAACAAGCAATGAAACTTGGGCATCTGCATTAACATATAAATGATACACTAGTGGAGCCTGGCAGTTTCCATAGAAGACTGGCAACTGCCCATCAGCCTTCTTAACAAGTTGGCATGGGGTGGAAGTTGGGGAGCACAGAAAAGAGATCTGAAAGCAAGACCCATGGTTCGAAACCCACAGAAAGAGGTTCAGCAGAAGGTTTTGGATGCATCTACTGTATGTTCATCACTCAGACCACAGGTCCATTATACATTAGTGCCTCCTCAAGGTGGTCCGGCAAAATGCACGGAAGACATGAAAGGCAATCAGTCAATCAATCATGCCACTACAATTATCATAGGCTCGTGGATTATCAGAACATGGAGATATGTTGTTGTTGTTGGCCTGTTGTTATGGTAATTATCATCAATCTTCACATCAGCAGCCTAAGAGTGCCTGATATGTATTGCCTGGCAAGGTGCTAAGAGGTTCTTGTGCATTGTCTCATTTTGTTCTTGCAACACCCCTATGAGATAGCTACTATTAGGTATCCATTTTAGAGAGGAGGAAGCTGAGGCTTAATGCAGTGAAGACACTTGCCCAGTGGCACATAGTTGGGAAGTGGCAGAGCTAGGATTTGAACCCAAGGTCTTCCAACTTTTCCCACTCTGGTTTTCTAGGTGATCTCATCCACCCCACTCATTGTATAAGTGAGGATGATGAGGCTCTGAGAGGTAGTAGTTCTGAGGCGGAAAGAGATGCCAAACAGCTGTTAGAAGCTTTATGCCATTATACCAAAATATCGAACCTTTGCCTTTTCAGAAATGATCCTAAGCAGAGGATAGGGAGGGCCCTGATGCCAAGGGATCCAGATGGAGTTGACCAGAAGATACTTGCTGACATTTGCATCACATGAAGGTATTGATTGCAAGGGCAGCCCAGGGCAGCCATGCTGGAGGGTTTAGGTGAACTTCTCCACCTTGGAGAAGTTCCCACTCAGACCCACACCGGAGCATGCATGAAGATGTACACTACCACCATGCAGTCTGCAGTGGTAGCAAGCTGAAGCCCTCTAGGTTTCTGTCCCTAAATACTTGGATGATTAAAATATGGGGAACACACACCAGGGAGTACCATGCGGCAGTCCTAGATGTATGAATGACAGCATGAGTGGATCTTAAAATCACAGTGCCATGAAGAAAATAATAGACAGGATGAAATCCACAGCACAGTATCATTTAGGTAAATGAAAAACTCATGCACCCGAAACTTTTCCCAGGAATAAATACAAATAAAAAGATATACATCAAACAGATTAGGTAGGCTGCCAGTGGGGTGTGTGTGAGAGGAGAAGGGAGAGGAGGAGAGTGAGGCATGAAGATCAAGGGGAATAAATGAATGGATGAATGGCGCACAGGAGATGCTTGCAGACAATAATGTGAATGTGTCATAAGCCAAGGAGTATGAGTGCCTCAAGCCTCAGCATCCCAGATCTGAAAAAGTAAAGAAACTCAAAGACAAAACCACTCAGCTAGACTTGGGAGTAAAATTAAGTCATAGCATAAGGAATCCAGCATTTTAAAAACACCTACTGTGTATCAGACACTGTTGCTAGGGGCTTTCTCTGTGTCATTTCATTTACTGTTCAACAGAACATTGGGAAGAAATTATCATTTGTTTTGCAAATCAGGGAAATGGAGCAGAGAGTTGAGGCTGGAGGAGAATAGTCCTCATCCAGGTTGTCAGAATCCAAAGTAATTTGTTTTCAGATTTTCCAGAATAGACATTCCACAGTCTATTTTCTGGGAGCAAATGGAAAGGCATCATTAGTTGCTAGTAAGAGAAAAATTATGACAATTCTGTAGGATGGCCTCGTTCTTTTTTTTAAAAAAGTGTGTTGCTTGACTTTTCATATAGAAAAGAGGCTGGAAGGATCTGTGTCCAGGTTTTAGCAGGAAGCTCCCTGGGAGCAGGGGTGAATCTGTGCTGGTCAGTCTTGTCTACTGCTGTGCACCCATTCAGGGCTGACCCACAGGAAAGCTCAACATATTCACATAAATTAATCTCTGAATGGTGAAGTGCCTTTTCTCTGTGCCTTTGTGTACCATCTGCATTTTTAAAAAGAGCACAGATTACTTTTATAATCAAAAAGGAACAATAAAGCTTTTTCTGTTTGGAAGGAAAATGTTTGTTTAATAAGAATGAGCAGAGGGATTCTGAGGCCAGCTATGTCTGAGAATCCCGTCTCCCATGGCAACAACAGCATGTGTATTCTCAGAGAGCCCATGAGTAAGTCTTGAGTGCCTACTCTATGCATGGTTCGTGGCAGAGGGCTCAGAGGGAAAAGGCAATTTGGGGAAGGAATGGTTACCAGCAGAGCCCACGGAGCCTGACTCTAGGCTGGCGTGTGATCTTGGGCAAGTTCTTTGGCCTCGCTGAGCCTCTGCTTCCACACTGCAAGATGGGCACAATGCTAGCCATGAAGGTTAGCCCATGCCTAGCACAGAGCAGGGGTTCATATGTAATAATATTGCTATCATGGATGATGGTGAGGGGAGCACCGTAGCTGGTGGGAACAGCAAGGGCAAAGGTATGGAGGGAGGACTGCACTGGGTACTGCAGGGCCTTTATTTTCAGGTTTCTTCTTTTAGGAAATCAGAGCTGGGGCAACAGGTTCCTTGTTCTTCCCCAGCCTCCTCTGGAACTGTACTAGAGGAACCTAATTGCTAGTTTCAAAAGGCAGTAAAGAATCATTAGGGCCAATTTCATCAGTGCAGTGTTCTGTGTGCTGGTGAAAAGATGAGGAATAACAACACAGCCCAGGGCTTCCAGACCGTGGCCCCAAACCAGGTGATTAAAGATGCAGAAATGGGATTCCAGACTCAGAAAAATAAGGAGCTGCCTGAGGAGAGGGGGCCAGCTCTATGGAGACAAAAGTCCTGAGAATACAGAGACCCCACACATGCATCTATGAGCTTCTGGTGGAAGTACAGGCCCTGGGTGTTACAAACACACACACACACACACACACACACACACACACACACACACCACTTAATGAGCTCCATTTGGAATTAATTTCCCTCACCCAAATCAAACCTGAAATAAGACACCAGATTGCCCATCCACAATTCACCATTTCTTTTACTCTTGCCTTTAAGATAACACAAATATCCATAATATACAGAGTGATTACTAGGTACCGGACACTGTGCTAAAGCCTTTACGGGAATTTGGCCTGTCCTCTTTCCCAACAGCAGGTCTTAATTAGGATTGGGATGGGTTGCAAGGACAGGAAACAAAATAACAGTGGCTTAAGGAAGAAAGGAGTTTATCTCTCTACAATGTTAAACAAGCTTAGTATAGTTGGTCCAGGACATATGTCAATGACTGCAACTCCTTCTTTCTTGAGGTTCTGCCATCCTCAGCATGCAGCTTTCTCCTCGTGGCCCAACAGAGCTGTTTGTGCTCCTGCATCACAACCACATTCCAGCCAGCAGGAAGGAGGAAGGGACAAAGAAAGGCTCCCTCTCGCCACTGCACTCCAGCCTGGGCAACAGAGCGAGACTCCATCTCAAAAAAAAAAAAAAAGGCTCCCTCTTCTCTTTTAGGATCCTTCTAGGCATCTGCATATGACGCGTTTGCTTATATCTCTCCACCAGAATGTAGTCACAATGCCTACCTCTAATAGCAGGGAATGTTAGGATATGAAGTTTTTACTCCAGGTGAACATGGAAATTAAAAAGTTAAAAGTAAGGGAAAGAAATGGGAAGAATGGCTATTGGATGCTAGGAGGATAACTGTGGTCTTGGCCACAGTGCCACTACTATTAACAACAATCCTGCTTTTCAGATGAGGAAACTGAGGCTCCAAGAGGGGGAAGTGACTTGTCACAGGTGATCATGATGGTACATGGTACCATATGATGATGGTATGATGGTACATGGCAGAGCCAGCAGTTGAACCAATGTTTCTTTGGCCCTGAGCCACTGGGTCTTTTGAAATCTATATACAAACTTTTGTGTTGATTTGTGAGATTTTGGTGCACCCATCACCTGAGCAGTATACACTGAACCCAATTTGTAGTCATTTATCCCTCACCCACTTCCCACCCTTTCCCCGAGTCCCCAAAGTCCATTGTGCAATTCTTATGCCTTTGCATCCTCATAGCTTAGCTCCCACTTATGAATGAGAGCATACAATGTTTGGTTTTCCATTCCTGAGGTACCTGTAATTGAGAAATATATATATATATATGTGTGTGTGTGTGTGTGTGTGTACATATATGTATATGTACACACAAGAAACTTACATATATATACACACACATATATATATACACACATATATATATATACACACACATATATATATAGACACACATATATATATACACACATATATATATATACACACATATATATATATATATATCACAGTTTATTTATCCACTCGTTGATTGATGGGGATTTGGGCTGGTTCCACATTTTTGCAATTACAAATTGTGAATCTCCACACTGTTTTCCATAGTGGTTGTACTAGTTTATATTCCGACCAGCAGTGTCCACCTGTTTCTCAAAAACCTATGGAAATAAAAAATTTAAAATAAAAATAAAAAGGACATAGTGACAGTTAAAAATAATAAATACATAAAATAGTCAAATTCATGAAATCAAAGACTAGAATGGTGGCTACCAGAGGCTGAGGGCTGGGGAAAATAGGAAGTTATTGATAAACAGGCACGAAATATCAGTTACGTAAAATGAACAAGCACTAAAGATCTACTGCACGACATTATACCTATACTCAACAATAATGTATTGTACACTTCAAATTGTACACTCAACTCATGTGGAGTGTTCTTACCACAATAATTTTTTTAATGGAAAAAAAGTGAAACCCATATAAAAAGATATAGAGGAGAAATTCCACAAACACACGGAGACACACCTTCAAACTCACAGGCTTCAGGGCTTGAAAATCATATGCAGGGTTTCACAGCAAGGTCATTTTGACAACTGAATCCAGATCCCCAGGAAACACTTGTTTCTGTCGAAGCTGTGACAGAGCCTTAATTACAACAGCCTAAATACTATGCTGCACTTAAAGGACATGGGGAGCAGGCTATGAATTCCTTTTAGAAAGTCCCTTCCTCCCCAAGGTAAACCAGGCAGGGAGGAGGTTTACACCAGCTCCGGAAGGACACCTGAACGTCCCTCTCCAAGGTGGCAGGGGTGTGCTATGCGGGTCATTTGTCCTCTGCTCTCTCTCATCTGAGGATGTGCAAATAATCACCATTATTTGAATTGCCTTACAGAGCAAGGAGAAAATAAAATCCTACCAAGGAGTGGGAGAGGAAGGTCACCTCTAAGGTGAAACTCCCCCTGTTCAATGTTGACAAGAGGGTCCCATGATGCCCTGAGAGCGTCCTGCAGGTGCCCATGGGACTAGGACCTTTCCCTTTCTTTGCCCCCTAACCACTGGTGGGAATTACCCCCCTAGGAGAGGAAATGCAAATGACAGCTATCATAGCTAAGCCAGTTCACATGCAATCTGACAACACTAGTATTTCCTTACATGCCTGCATCACAGAGTGTCATGCATCATCCCCATTTTACAGCAGAGAAAACAAAGGCTTAAAGCCAAAAGTGAAATAGTGCAACCAGTTTGGAACTCTGTTTGCTGGTTTATAATAAAGTAATACATACTCTTACCATACAACCTCACCATTCTACTCTGAGGTATTTATGTAAAAGAAACAGAAACATACATGTGTAAAAAAGATTTGTACAGCCAACAACACCAATGTCCATAAACAAGAGAATGGATAAAAAATATACCTCCACACAATGAAATACTACTCATCAGTAAAAAGGAATGAACACTGATCTTGGAAGAGCATGGCAGAATCTCAGGGAAATTATGCTCCGTGGAAGAAGCTAGACACAGAAGAATACATATTGTAGGATTCCATCCATCTAAAGTTCAAGAACAGGCAAAGTGACTAGAAGGTGATAGAAATCAGAACAGCTGCCCTGCAGGGGAAATGTTACTGAATGAGAAGGGTACAAAGGAAGCTTCTGGAGTTGGTTTATGTAAGTTGATCTGGTGATACTTCCAGGGGTGTTTATTTGGCAAAATTAATTGAGCTGTAGACTTAAGATTGGCACATTTTGCTGTGTGAAAATTGTGCCTTGAGTATTGGAGGAAAGAGACTCACCCTGTTACAAGTGGAAAATGAGCTATGCCATTGTCCAACAGCCAGTATGAATCAAGGCAGTAAAAGTATGGTCACTGCCTCTTTTTAAAGGATTGGGAAGACTCTGTCAGGGTCAAAGGTGTTTTTGAGTGTTCTCCCTGGGCCAGGTCCTGTGCTTAGGGTTGGGGTAAAGATGGACACAGTCCTGTCCTGATGAAGCATTTGTCATGGGACAGGGACAAGCATTCATCCCAGGGCCCCATGGGGAGGGAGGAGCAGGGACAGTTGATGCTCCTTGGAGGGGACTGAGTCCAGATCTCCTGGAGGAAGGGGCAGCAAGTTGCAAAGAAATAGGGGAGGAAGAAACATGATGTAGGGATTAGGTTGCATCAGGTTGGGCAGAGACCCATATTATGGAAAGAGAAAATGTAGTCTATATGGGAAGGGGACTGTCAGTAATGCAGTCCTCCTGGAGCTTAGAGTGGAGATAGGAAGTGACCATTAATAAAAGTGACTTTCACTTATGCACAACTTACTCTGTGCCTACCGTTCATATATTAACTCATTAAATCTTCACAAGATCCCTTTGCACTAGATTGTCCCCATTTAACAGATGATGAAATTGAGGTTCAGAGAGGAGAAGTCACATAGCTGCCAGGTCACATAGCCGGTGAGTGGCAGAGACAAGATTTTAACCCTGGTCAGCTGGGTCTAGAATCCGCTCTTGCAGTCATTCTGCTCAGCTAATGAGGTGGAGGGGGCCAGGTTGTGAAAGCCCTAATCAGCCTTTCTACAGTTTCATCCTGTGGACAAAAGGAGTTAGCTCTTCTGTGAGCTTCAGTTTCCTCATCTGTAAATACAGACAATATTTTGTATCTCAGGGGAGTGTTAATGGGGCTTAAAGTGGATGAGAAGCATCAAGCAACCAGCAAAAGGCATGGCTAGTATAATGCCATCATATATACTAGCTGTCATTATTCTAATTCTAGCTGATCATCTAACTGCTAACATGTGAAGACCTACTGGGCATAGGCACTCTGCTAAAGAGTTTGCATGAATTACCTCTTTGATCCTCACAGCCTGAGTGTTAGGGGACATTATTATTGCATATCCCACAAAGGAAGTGAGAGAAGACAAATGTCTAAGATAATGCTGTTAACCAACACCAGTGAAATGTTGCAGCCCAGAAAATCAGGATCTGGAGTGCATGCCCCAACCCAACCCTCTTCCATATGGCGGCCCTTCACTACACGTGGCTATTGAGCGCTGAAACAACCGAGTCCAAATTGAGATGTGTTGTGAGTATGAAATACACATCGGATTTTGAAGACTTTGTTTGAGAGATCTCATTCATATTTTTATTACATATTGAACATTACCTTTTTGACTACATGTGAATATGATAATATTTGGATGCACTGGGTCAAAGGCAAGATGTTATTAAAATTAATTTCACTGGTTTCTTTTTACTTTTATAAAAATGTGGCTGGGGGCTGGGTGCGGTGGCTCACACCTGTAATCCCAGCACTTTGGGAGGCCAAGGCAGGAGGATCACGAGGTCAGGAGATCGAGACCATCCTGGCTAAGATGGTGAAACCCCATCTCTACTAAAAATACATAAAAATATTAGCCAGGCATGGTGGCGGGCGCCTGTAGTCCCAGCTGCCTGGGAGGCTGAGGCAGGAGAATGGCGTGAACCTGGGAGGCGGAGCTTGCAGTGAGCTGAGATGGCGTCACTGCACTCCAGCCTGGGTGACAGAGCGAGACTCTGTCTCAAAAAAAAAAATGTGGCTGGGTTTATATCCAGGGGGATGTAAATTGTTGTATCAAAAGACCCATGCACGTGAATGTTCATTGCAGAACTGTTCACAATAGCAAAGAGATGGAATCAACCTAGTGCCCATCAATGACAGATTGAATAAAGAAAATGTGGCATATATACACCATGGAATACTATGCAGCCATAAAAAGAACGAGATAGTGTCTTTTGCAGGAACATGGATGGAGCTGGAGGCCGTTATCCTTAGCAGACTAACACAGGAACAGAAAACCAAATATCACATGTTCTCATGTATAAGTGGGAGATAAAGGATGAGAACCGATGAACACAAAGAGAACAACAGACACTGGGATCTACTTGAGGGTGGATGGTGGGAGGAGGTAGAGGAGCAGAAAAGATAACTATTGGGTGAAGAGCTTAATACCTGGGTGATGAGATACTCTGTACAATAAATCCATGGCATCAGTTCACCTATGTAACAGACCTTCACATGTACCCCGAACCCAAAATAAAGGCTTAAAAAGGGAAAAAAAGAAAAGAATTGCAAAGCTCATAAAAACATAATACAAAATTGGTATGTGGTAAATAATTACAGAAACTGAGGAAATAAAAGAATCACAAAAGACTTACTTGATAAGTTCCATGTAAATAAATTTGAAATAAATTTTAAACTTTCAAAAAATGTGGCTGCTAGAAAATTGTAAGTTGCATGTGAGGCGGGCATTCTATTTCTGCTGGGCAGTGCCACCCTACACTGCTGCTTTTCTCCTTCCGTGGGGTGAACCATACATTGGCCTCCCAGCCTGTCCACATGGGGCCTTTCAAAGTTGCTGCATTTGAACTTCAGTTTATGTGTTGATGAGTTAACTGCTTTGTCCCTCACACCTTAGTGTGTTTGTGTGTGTGTGTGTGGGGGGGGTGCTTGCTCCTGTGTCCCCTTCAAAGACATTTCCTGCCAGGCTTCCTCTTCACCATTTTTAACATCACGATGCACAGACGGTGGGAAAAGACAGAGGGTCCCCCACGCAAACACAGCATCACAGCCTCCCATGCCCTCCCCTGCTGGCCGCTCCATCTCATAGCCCATGAGCCCTGCAGTTCCAGGCTGTAGCCCATGGCAAGGTTATTTAAGCTGAGATCAGCTGTCCTCTCTCTCCTAGGGAAAATAAAAATATTCTAATTAAACCTGGGTAAGCCCTGGGAACAATAGTGCTGGCACTGGGGCTGATGGATGTGATTCAATTTGGAGCATGAAGAGCAGGACTCTAGGCTCTTGCTGTTACCAAGCAATTTGGAGGGCAAAAATGATCCAAAACTGGATTTTAAAAATGCAATCCAGCTCATAGGAGGGTAGAGGTGGGGATCTGAACTGCGGGACAGAAAGAGTCCTATTCCATCTGAAGCCAGAGGCAGCAGAGAACAGATGAGGTCATGGGACTTGGGGGCCCAGATATACCTGGCTCCACCAAACTGCAATTTCTGTATCTGGGGTTGGGGGTCATTTTGGTACTCCACCTCTTGGGGCCTCATGGCGACTGAATAAGGTAATACAGGCAAAGTGCTTGGATGGCGGCTCGATTAAATGGAAGCCATTCTTCTTTATGTTTATTCCTCCCACAGCCCACATGTTGACATTGAACCTCACCAATTCGTATGTTCTCAGCAGATGCCTGGAATTGCCGACAGATCCCTGGTTCCTGGGATGACATCCTTGGAAAGCTATGTGGAAGGTGATAGGGACAGGCTATGACAACAGTTACTGTACTTA
This sequence comes from Homo sapiens, assembly GCF_000001405.40. Lineage (NCBI taxonomy): Eukaryota > Metazoa > Chordata > Mammalia > Primates > Hominidae > Homo > Homo sapiens. Next base: position 108,069,276 of record NC_000012.12, on the reverse strand, counting down.
CCTGTGATCACATCTAAAAATAATCATTGCAACGAGGTAGATAAAGTATTATTATGCCAACAGCTGGCTACTGAATAGAAGGGAAGTTACAAAGACCTGGATGCCAAATCTCCAAAGGTTTTAGAGAAATGTCAGAATTGGTTCTGTATTCGACAAAAAGAATAATTTATGCTTTCTTCCAGGGTGTGGAGTCGGGAAGGGAGATTAGAAAGAAAAGAGAGAGGAGAGGAAGAGAAAATCTAGCAAGATGGCAAGAGCTGGAGCTGGTGAGGGAAAGGGAGTTTGAGTCACCCCTTGACCACCACCCACCCCAAAGAGTGTTGGTCAGGGGACATTTGAAAAGCCATGATACCTAACATTCCATTTGGAAATTGTCTGCATTAAAGCAATGTTAACCCCTCCTCTGTCTTCCACCACCACCCCTGAAATCTGCAGAAAATTCTCCTAACCTCAAAAATGAGTCATGTAATTGGATGTCTTTCTATTTTTTAAAACAATGAGATTCAAGCAAGAAGCTGGGTTTCATGTCTGGACTGATGTGGAGCTACAAAGTGGGGAAGCAAGAACCATAGAAACATGGCTTCTTCTGAGAATTGACAGAAATCTGGAAGAGGGCTCTGAAATGCTCAGGTCACTGCTGAGCTATCATTATGTGAAGACTTCTTCCCATTGCCCCCCACCAAAATCCTTTTTTAAAGCAGACATTACAGAGACTTGGGGTCCTTCCTCTTGGTTAGTGGCCAGCTCTGCATCATTTTGGATTCTTTCTATTAAAAACAAAAATGCACAGATCAAATCTAACTGAAAAAAGCAAGGAAAAAGTAAACTGGAAAGTTACTGGGAAGCTCCCAGAATTGAAACATGAGCTAAGCAACAGGACTCAGGAAGGCTAGTGACCAAGCAGTGCCAGGACTTCAGCAGCAGGATGGCGGGCAGTCCGAAGGACAAATAAATCAACTATTCTTGTATCTACCCAAGATTCAAATTTTCAAGGAAGAGACTGAGGACCTAGTTTGGGTTACATGGTTACACCAGCAGTCAGAAGAGAGCTAGGGATGTGTGTCTGGCATGACATAAAGAGGTGGAGGGAAAGTTCCCTAAAAAAGGCAATCTAGGCTGGGTGTGGTGGCTCATGCCTGTGATCCTAGTGCTTTTGGAGACCAAGGCAGGAGGATCACTTGAAGCAGGAGGATCACTCTGAGACCAGCCTAGGCAACAGCAAGACCCTGTCTCTACAAAAAAAAAAAAAAAAAAAAAGTTTTAAAATAGCCAGGTGTGGGCCGGGTGCAGTGGCTCATGACTGTAATTCCAGCACTTTGGGAGGCCAAGGTGGGCAAATCACGAGGTCAGGAGTTCAAGATCAGCCTGGCCAGTATGGTGAAACCCCGTCTCTACTAAAAATACAAAAATTAGCAGGGCATGGTGGCACACGCCTGTAGTCCCAGCTACTCGGGAGGCTGAGGAAGAAGAATTGCTTGAACCCAGGAGGCTGAGGTTGCAATGAGCCGAGATCAGGCAACTGCACTTTAGCCTGGGAGACAGAATGAGATTCCCCATCAAAAAAAAAAAAGGAAAAGAAAAAAGAAAAAACCAGGTGAGGTGGTGCACACCTGTAGTCCTAGCTACTCAGGAAGCTGAAGTGGGAGAATCGCTTGAGCCCAGGAGTTTGAGGCTGCAGTGAGCTATGATCATGCCACTGCACTCCAGCCTTCCAGCCTGGGCAACAGAACAAGATCCTCTTGAGTCTTTAATAAAAGGGGGTAGGGGTAATCTAGAATAAGGAGAGAGCAGATACTAGGCATGTGTGTGCATATGTGTGTACACATGATGCACATGCGCAAACACACACACAGATGCTCATTTCATCCCACCCCTTTACTGCCCACACCCACTGTTCTCGTACATACAAACTGACATCACAATGCAATTATCCTGCATACAACCACAAACACATGCATGCTTCCTCAGTGAGAAAAGGGCAAATGAAGCAGTCTATTTATCTGGAAATATGCCTTTTAGGAATAAGGGTAACAATTTCAGAGACCTATGAAAATGTCACAAAGAGGGTGAGTAGGAAGAGTTGGGGGCTGGCTTTCAGATTAAAATAGGCACTCCACTCTAACCCTGGGCAAAATAGCCCCAGGGTGGTGGTTACTCAGGCCACATGCTCCTTGGTGTTTGGCTGTCACAGTGGCTACATCAGAGAGGAAGTGATGTCACCCAGTGGGACTTTGGCTCTTGGAAGACACTATCACGTGGTACTTAAATCTCACTGGCTGAAGGAAGAATTTTACCCGAGCTTGCAAATATCCTACCTGCCGAAGTGTCCTGACGTGCTCGAGACCCTAAAATTAAGCCAATGAAAAAGAACAAGTATGGAGTAGTGGTGATGAATATAGGCTTGGGGTGAGGTAGCGCTAGGTTCAGATCTGGGCTGGTTTGCTTTTTCCTAGTTACACAGCTTTGGTAAGGGCTTAGCCATTCAGACCTCAGTTTTCTCATCTGTGAAATGGGTTAATGTCTACTTTTAGTGATGTTCTGAGGAATAAATCAGCTAATGCATGTAACATGCTCAGAACAGTACCTGGCATTTAATAAAGGCTCAATAAATGTAAACTATGATTATTCTGTCTTCCTGACAGGTGAGGAAACTGAGATTCAGGGAAGAAAACGTTAGTTTGTCTAGGACAGCACAGCGATTCATCAAAATTCACAAAGAAAAAGCATATAGAAAGAAAAAGACTAGACCAGTATCACTCAATTGAAATATAATTAAAGTCAAGAGTGATTTTAGATTTCCTCGTAGCCACATTTTTTTTTAAAAAAAGAATAGGTGAAATTAATTTAATAACATATTTTATTTAACCTGATATATCCCAGATAGTATCATTTCAGCATATGATCACTATGAAAACTTAAATTTCAGTAGTTTGCATTCATTTTTTCCTAGTAGCCACACTTTTTCCCCATCTTTTCAAGACATTTTCTAAACTTTTAATTTTATGTGCGGCTTTGTTACATAGGTAAACTTGTGTCATGGGGGTGTGTTGTACAGATTATTTCATCTCCCAGGTATTAAGCCTAGTGC